>NC_000006.12:22484242-22787272 GCF_000001405.40 Homo sapiens | reverse complement strand
AGGAGTTTTCTGTTGCAAACTGGGAATTTTTCCTTGAGATGATTCATTTTCTGAGTAATAATTAGAAAAACTGGAACATGAAGATAAAAAAGAAAACATAATTATCCATAGCAATGCTACTGAAAAAAGAGTGCACGGTTTTCTTTCTGTTTGGTTTTATTAAAGGACCAAGATCCCTGGTGCTTCATATTATCTGTTAAAAAAAAAAAGTGAAAAATGAACAAGTCATGGATTTTCAGTGCTCTAATGACTTATCCTAATGTATTCCTTCATCTAAATACAGATTTCTATTTAAAATTCAGTATGCAGGGGTATTATGAATTCCAGTTTAATGGATTCCAAATAATTGCCCTTTAGAAATGATGAATAGCTGTTTAAATCCACTGATAAGAATATACTATTCCTCTCCGAACAATAGACCTTCCACATTAACTGTGTCATATATGCCTGAAATTAATTTATTAATTTTTTATTGATATGCAAAACCCAAACTGATGACAGATGGAAAATAACCCTTTGTGGAGAGCCCCCAACTTTCCACCTAAAATGTTATTGTTATTCTTGTGAGTGATAAAGCAGAGCCACGGCAATAACCTTTCCAAAGAAGGCCAGGCCCATGAAATGCAGATGATGCCCTTCTCTTCTTTCTGTACTTTTTTCTTTTTCTTCTTTTTTTTTTAGTTTCTGTAGTTCAAAAAGATGCGCTTCTAATGTGGTCAGAATGACCAGCAATTTCCAAACTCCACAAAGACAAAGCTTTTTGAAGGTCCTGGTCGTTACACAGTGCTCTTAAAAAAGACTTCCAGGGCTCGTTCCTCACTTTAAAAGGTAGCAAAAGCAAAAGAAGCAGATCTATTCAAATTAAAAATACATTATTCATTTCCCTTATGTAGCATCAGCTTAGGGTGGTTTTTTTAAAAATTTTATCCCTGATCAGAATGAATGGTTTTTCTATGCTAGTTTAAAACACAAATAATACTCTGAAAGCCATGGCCAGAATAAATGCAATAAACACTGTCCTATGCTGAAGTAAAAAGCATATATTCATTACTGGAATCTTGATGTTTTCTGTATTTTTAAACAATTGTATTACATTATGCAACTTGTATCATTACATTTTTTTATGTGTTCGGTTAATAAAGAATAGTCATTCACACAGGTAAAAAGAGAATCTGAGCTGTTTCTAAACCAAGTTATAATAAATGGTGCAAGGGAAAAAATGGAATCAACTGTTGTTCAATCTATTGACAAGAAGTGCTTTCAACACCTCTGATTTTATGCCTCTTACCTTTTCCATAGAAAATTCTATGAAAAAAAAATCCAGGCTTCTCACAAAATGTAAAACAGAAAAAAAATAATTTAAGGTAAACAGAATCTACTCAGAATTTATATGATTCTTTGTTCCTTGCTAGTTGATTTATAAAATCATTATACTTAATGCAATGTTTATATTTTTAGAACACCCCCTGAATGATGTATATACTCTGTGTGTGTGTGTGGTGGGGGGTGGTATATACACCCCTCTATCTAAACACATATAATTATAAGCAAACTGTAATAAAATGGAGATGTCCAGCTTTTCATGCCCAGCACCCTGTCCAGGAAAAAACAGGTTACCAATTAAAAAAAAAAAAAAAAAAAAAACCTTCACACTTCCCATTGTACCTCTGCCATCAATATCTGTTCCTGTAAGAAATGCTAATCAGGATACAAATGAAGAGGAAAATGGAGACAAAAGCTCATTTTATTTTTTGTGAGTAAATAACACTATTACTTCCTTTCCCTAAATCTCATCTAAGAGGAGTGAAAGATGAAGAGAGACAAATATGTTTTCATATATCAGAACCACTGAAAACACAGGAGCAAGGATAAAATCTGTTTTTATCTTTTCAGCACACTTGTGTGTAAAATCCTGGGCTTCCGTGACTGGAGGTTTTTCTTTCTCTCTAGCGGAGGGTGACGGCCCCTTTTCTCCAGGCCTTTTCTGTCTTCCTCCAGGGTCTGCTGACTTCCCTCCATACCATTGGTACCCAGAGAAGAATAGCTCCTCTGTTTTCCTGCCTGCCTGCAGATTCATCCTGTGCTCCATTCAGCTGGCGTTAAGGTCTGCTAACTGCTGCTGTACAACTTAGCTTTTATGCTCTACTGACGGGTTTTCTGAAGCCAGACGGTTTCTGAAAAGAGGGCCTATTTGCATAAACAATGCCATGTGAAGAGGTCTACTGGAAACAAAATCAAAATTCACTCAAGCAAATCTTCCCGATCAACTCATTTTTTTTTTTTTTTGCAACTAACACCTCCTATAGTTACCATCTGTATGTTAAAATGTGACTGAGAGTTGGAACAATTTTTTTCCCTCCATTTCCTTTGTGTCCGGTTTTATGAAACAAGCCAAAAACATATTTTATTTTCTGACTTAGTCCGAGCAGAATCCATAAATAGGCTGTGGTATGTGGAATGAGGAATGCGTTGTGTGTTAAAGGAGGGCAGGGGGCCAGCTATGCATCAGCTAGCCAGAGCCTTCCATTAGATTTGCCATAGGAGCTGCATCAAAATGCACATCCCAGCCAGGAGCCACCCATCCACAGGCTCTGTGATTTCAGGTCACCAAATGCAGAGCTGCGTCAGCACTGGGGATCACAGTGGGGAACGCACATCTCTGCTCCTTCCAGTACTTTCCTTAGTTTCCGATCCACAGAAATAGACCAAAAGATGGTAGCAAGCTTAAAACAGGCTAGAGCGGGCATTTTGAACGAGGCTGCATAAACAAACTAAAGAGGAACATTATTAAACCAGTCACATCCATAGAAAACCATGAATGATTTCTTAAACATCTTAAAGCACATTCAGTTTTAAAGGGGGTGCTTAATGGCAATACTAAGAATTTTTCACTTAATAAACATCCTCAGGTTAAAAGCATGTGCTTAATCAAGCAGGAACTGCTAGACTCTCCTATCTGAAACAATGGATGTAATTTGATTTAAATCTTTCTTTTGCCTTTTGGAGAGGGTTAATATTATGACTTGGTGGATACAGAGAAAAAGCAGAAATTCTTCCAGCATCTTTTTTCCTTTTGTTTTCCCTTGTCTAGTATCAAACATAATCCATTTGGCTTCCTGGATTGCCCAATCTAGAGTGCTTCGTTTCTCTCCTTAAAAATGTCATGATTGTGGCCTATTAATAGTACTTCCCATAAAAAAGATACGACTTCTTCGAAAAACGGCTGACTCCAGGTCTAGGGCAGGAAGCATACAAAATGAACATGGATATCTTGTCACACAAAAAGATTTAGCAGCCAAACTGGGTAAACTCTCTCAAGCCAAAGATGAAATAAATTTCACCATCAGTAAAGCCAAAATCTACCTTGGCATAAAGATCAAATATGCTTAAATTTGTGCATTTATAATGATACTTAAAAAAAACTAATTGATCACCTTTGGAGGATGCTAAGAAACCATTTCATCCTTATGAGAACTAACTAGTAAGTAAAAAGAAAGATGAAAACAATTTTCTCACCTTTTCTATATAATCGGTAACCCAGGGGAACTGAAGAGTTGAAGAGCGGAAGTTCTCGTTACGGAAATAATGAATTTAAAATGTGTTGCCCTTATGAAACAAGAAGTCTGGCACAGATCTGGAGTTGTTGATGTATTACCTCCTAATGACACTCTTGAGTGAAAGCACCTTTGAGGGTCATCTAGTCAAAACAAACCAACGAATAAAAAGCAAACCTGAAAGTGAATCTTCCCAGGTCTTTAGATGTAAGAGATGCAAGGGACCGAGGAATATGACAAATTACACCATAGGGATAAAATGAGGAAAATCTGGGCTATGCAAAACTCCATAGGGCAAATGATCTAAGTTTTCAACCAAAAAAGTTGCAATTAGGGCCAAATGTATCCAAAAGAGGCTTAAGAGACATAGGTTCCTATCTCCACACAGGGACCTTACTTGGATCTCAACTGACATGTGTCTGTTAATGAATTAATTGGTCAAATGGAACTAAATGAAAATAAAAATTAAAGTAAATTAATAATAAGACAATCAGGCAAATGTGAACTTGACTCGATATTTGGTGATATTAAGAAATTATAAGTGTGATTAAGATATTGTGGCTATGAATTTAAACAATGATCCTTAAGTTTTGGAAAAATTTACTGAAATATATACAGATGAAATAATATTCTGTCTGGGCTTGGCTGAAAAATAATCAGGGAGGCAGCAGGATGTTTGCATGAACAGGGTTGAAACAAGGTGAGCCATGAATTGATAATTATTGAAGTTGAGTGATGAAAAAACCAACTTCATCATACTATTTGCTCTACTTGTGTGTATGTTTAAATTTTTACTTAATGAAAACTATTTTCAAAAATGGATAGTAAGGTTCACTTACAAAGTGGTCCTACAAAAACAGGTACTGTTTTCCCCACCAAAAATTTAGAAAACATTAAGTCCCCATGACTAAGATATGGAATTGGGTTAGAAATGGGGGAAGCAGATGGTCTAGACAAATAATTGCCAAACTTGGGGCCGGGCGCGGTGGCTCACGCCTGTAATCCCAGCACTTTGGGAGGCCGAGGCGGGCGGATCACGAGGTCAGGAGATCGAGACCATCCCGGCTAAAAACGGTGAAACCCCGTCTCTACTAAAAATACAAAAAATTAGCCGGGCGTAGTGGCGGGCGCCTGTAGTCCCAGCTACTTGGGAGGCTGAGGCAGGAGAATGGCGTGAACCCGGGAGGCGGAGCTTGCAGTGAGCCGAGATCCCGCCACTGCACTCCAGCCTGGGCGACAGAGCGAGACTCCGTCTCAAAAAAAAAAAAAAAAAAAAAAAAAATAATTGCCAAACTTGGAAAAACCACATATTTATAACATATACAAAAGACTAATACATACAAGGCCATTAAAAACACCACTTAGGCTCTGGAAACAAAAAGCATATTTATCTGCTCTCTTAAGCAAAACATTTGTTAATTATTATATTAATTATCTATTTATTAACTTAAAGCATTCAATTGGAACTGTTATGACTGTGGCAAAACTTAACCATATTAAAATGCATAAACCCATTTAGTATAAGATTTCAGGAACTGCTTTTTATTTATTTAGATCATGTTTAGAATTTTCTGTGTACTAGGACATGAATCTTATTTTTGTATTTTTAGGCATATATAGTTCTTTTGGCTTTCACAACATTGCATGTGTGCATAGTCATATTTCTTTTACGAAAGACTATAGAACAGTAAATTAATATATGTTTAAATCAACTCCATTTTTTAAAGTAAATCTTCCTCTATAAAAATAACATCAGTTAGAATGATAACTAATATTAATTAATTAAATGTTTCATAATCATCTTATCTCATTTAATCGTCCCAATAGCACTATGAATTAGATATAAAGGAGACAATTCTCCATGGATCACTTATATATCTGCACATCTTGAGGGCAGAGTAACTGTATTCGTCCATTTTCATGCCACTGATAAACGCATACCTGAGACTGGGCAATTTACAAAGGAAAGAGGTTTAATGAATAACTCCCAGTTTCATGTGGCTGGGGAAGCCTCACAATCAAGACGGAAGGCAAGGAGGAGCAAGTCGCATCTTAGGTGGATGGTGTCAGGCAAAGAGAGAGCTTGTGCATGGAAACTCCCGTTTTTAAAAACTATCAGATCTCATGAGACCCATTCACTATCTCAAGAATAGCACAGGAAAGACCTGCCCCCATGATTCAGTCATCTCCCACCAGGTCCCTCCCACAACACATGGGAATTATGCGAGCTACATGATGAGATTTGGGGGGGACACAGAGCCAAACAATATTAGTAACCGATAGTGCTTTTACAATGATCTATTTTAACAAAGCTATTTGTATAATGAACAATTTTGGAAGACAGAGGTTGTGTTTCCCTTTGCAACAGAGAGTAAGTTTGCACTCCAGCATAATAAAGATAATGTCTCTTTCTTGAGCAATGATTGCACAGTTTCGCTTGCACCTCCTTATAAGAGATTGGAGTTTCCTAAATCCTGGGTCCCTCAGCTGTGACACAAACCCACTGTATGCACAGCAATCACCTGGGCCCCTCTGTGTCACTTCCGTGGGACACCAGGGGCATAAGGCACCAATGTGAACATGAAGCTTATGCTAACTGCTGTGCCATGAGTAATAAAGTTGTTTTCTCTGACCTAGGAGTCTCATGTCTCCTGCTAATATTGATAAAACTATACTAGGCTAAATTGTTTAAAATGATAAAATTTCAGACCCTTTAGAGTGTGTGAATGTTTCTGGCAACACGGACAGGATGTGGCAAATGCATAACCTTTGGGAAAGGGGAAAGTGCTTTGTAGGTAAGGTTGGGAGATAAGAGAAGACTCTGTGGAATCCAGAAGCAAATGCTTTTGTCCAAGTAGTGAGCCAAGGGGTTGAAGGAGTAAGGATCCCCTGCTACCCTATTGTTGATAAATGGTTAAAATTTGAGCAATAAGAGTTGGATTAAAAATTAAAAAAACAAAAACTGAATGATGCTGTAGTTGTTGCCCCTCTCTTCCAAGCAGAAGGAGGAAGGGTCAAGAAATCCTCAAAACCCAAATCAGGCTTTGGGAGGACGAAACACATGGCAGCTCCTTGGGTTGAGCCATAAGCAGCCATTGTGCCTTGCTTCCTGGCCTGGATCTGGTCTCCCCCTCAGTACCTCTGATCACCTTCTTCCCTTTCCCCTGACTTTAGCTTTTTAAGGAAAAAGATGATTAGGGATTTGTATTAGTCTGTTTTCATGCTGCTGACAGAGACATACCCAAAACTGGGTAATTTATAAAGAAGAATAGGTTTAATGAACTCACAGTTCTATGTGGCTGGGGAGGCCTCACAATCATGGCAGAAGGTGAAAAGCACATCTTATGTGGCAGCAGGTTAGAGAGCCAAGCAAAAAGGAAAACCCCTTATTAAAACATCAGGTCTTGTGAGACTTATTCACTACCATGGGAACAGTATGAGGGAAATCACCCCCATGGTTCAGTTCTCTCCCACCACATTCCTGCACAACATGTGGGAATTATGGGAGATACAATTTGAGATGAAAGATAAGATTTGGGTGGGGACACAGCCAAACCATACCATTCTGCCCCCGGCGCCTCCCAAATCTCATTTCAAATCATATTTCATTTGAAATTACATTTCAAAACCAATCACGCCTTCCCAACAGTACGCTAAAGTCTTAACTCATTTCAGCATTAACTCAAAAGTACACAGTCCAAAGACAAGGCAAGTCCATCCTGCCTATGATCCTGTAAAATCAAAAGCAAGTCAGTTACTTCCAAGATACAATGGGGATACAGGCATTGGGGAAATACTCCCATTAAAAATGGGAGAAATTGTCCAAAACAAAAGGGCTACAGGACCCATGGAAGTACAAAATCCAACAGGGCAGTCATTAAACCTTCCAAAATGATCTCCTTTGACTTCATGTCTCACCTCCAGGTTACGCTGATGCAAAAGGTAGGCTCCCACAGCCTTGGGCAACTCTGCCTCTGTAGCTTTCCAGGGTACAGGCCCCCTCTCAGCTGCTTTCACAGCCTGGCATTGAGTGTCTGTGGATTTTCTAGGTGCATGGTGCAAGCTGTCAGTGAATCTACCATTCTTGGGTGTAGAGAATGGTAGCCCTCCTCTCACAGTTTCACTAGGCAGTGCCCCAGTGGGGACTCTGTAAGGAGGCTTCAACTCCACATTTCCCTTTCGCACTGCCCTAGCAGAGGCACCCTGCAGCAAATTTCTGCCTGGACATCCAAGTGTTTCCATACATCCTCTGAAATCTAGGTGGAGGTTCCCAAACCTAATTCTTGACTTCTGTGTACCCACAAGCTCAATACCACAAGAAAACTGCCAAGGTGTGGGGCTTACACCCTCTGGAGCCACAGTCTGAGCTGTTCCTTGACCCTTTTAGCCACAGCTGGAGGAACTGGGATGCAGGGCACCAAGTCCCTAGACTGCACACAGTAGCGGGGCCCTGGGCCTGGCCCACAAAACCATTTTTCCTCCTAGACCCCCCAGGCCTGTGGTGAGAGGGGCTGCTGCAAAAGTCTCTGACATGCCCGGGAGACATTTTCCCCACTTTCTTGGTGATTAACACTGGGCTCCTCATTACTTATGCAAATTTCTGCAGCAAGCTTGAATTTCTTCCCAAAAAATGGGTTTTTCTTTTATATTGCCTCAGTAGGCTGCAAATTTTCCAAACTTTTATGCTCTTCTTCCTCTTGAAAAGTTTACCAATAAGAAATTTCTTCCACAAGATACACTAAATTATCTCACAGATATCTAGGACAGGGGCAAAATGCCACCAGTCTCGTTATATAGCAAGAGCGACCTTTACTCCAGTTCTCAACAAGTTCCTCATCTCTGTCTGAGACCACCTCAGCCTGGATCTTATTGTCCAAATCACCATCAACATTTTGGTCAAAGCCATTCAACAAGTCATTAGGAAGTTCCAAACTTTCCCACATCTTCCTATCTTCTGAGCCCTCCAAGTCTCTAGGAAGTTCCAAACGTTCCCACATTTTCCTACCTTCTTCTGAGCCTTCCAAACTGTTCCAAACTCTACCTGTAACCCAGTTGCAAAGTCACTTTCACATTTTTGGCTATCTTTACAGCAGCACCCCACTTCTGGTACCAATTTACTGTATTAGTCTGTTTTCACACTGCTGATAAAGACATACTGGAGACTGGGTAATTTATAAAGCAAAAGAAGTGTAATAAACTCACAGTTCCACATGTCTGGGGAGGCCTCATGATCATGGCAGAAGGTGGAAAGGCATGTCTTACATGGCAGCAGGCAAGAGAGAATGAGAGCTAAGTGATAACGGAAACCTCTTATAAAAACATCAGTTCTCATGAGACTTATTCACTACCACGAGAACAGTATGGGGGAAACTGCCCCTCATGATTCATTTATCTCCCTCCAGTTCCCTCCCACAACACACGGGAATTATGGGACCTACAATTCAAGATGAGATTTGAGAGGGGACACAGCCAAACCATATCAGGATTGGACCAAGGTTTCCTTGTCTCCAATGGGGACTGAAAAAAAAATCTTTCTGAGTATGCAGGGAAACTCTAAGAAGTACAGAGAATCAAAGTTATATGGATCCATCAGATACAGGCACTGAAATTAAAATCAGCTATGTGCCCTAATCCCTGAGAGAAGAACTATTCTGATTACCTTGTGGGGGTTTAGGTGTTGAGTGTTGAGAGGCTAATGTGACCTTATGAGTGAGTCCTTTGTGTCCATTCAATATGCCTTTAAAATTGCTTCACTGTATAAATGTATAGATGAATTGATGAGTTAAAAGCTTGTACTTCCTTGCCCTGTAAGGGTCATAGGAGATTCTTCTAATGGGGAAGAGAAGCATGTAGAGGAGCGAGTATAAGGTCAACATCCCTGCCATTTGCCACCAGTAGCTGGTTCAGAATTTAGCACAATTGCCTCTACTCTGTAATGTCCAGAACTTCCACTGTGTACATATAATGTCCTGTTGAGTGGCAATCCAGAAGCCTCAGCCTCTATGGCTTAACTACAGTGTTGTCACAAATGTAGGGAGCTGCTCACCCAGTAAAGATTCTTGGAACTATGTGATTGGCTTCACAATGCTCATTCTCTTCAGCAAGCAAAGCATCCTCTACTAGCCCGAGCACCATGAAGCAGGCCCAGCTTATTGGAATCATAGAGCAGTGTATTCCTCACCTGTGCATGCTACTTGGTCCCTCATACTGGCTAACCCATAAATTAGCATCCTTGAGTGGGAACCAAACCAATAGGCTGCACTGGAAACTGTCCAACAAGATGGAGTATGCTCTCTACCTTTGAGGTCCCACAACCCTAATGATTTCTTTGAGATTCAAGTCTCTGTGACTAATGAATTTTTCTAACAGAGCCCCTGGAAAAGGAAGGCAACCTCCATCTGGAGGGCCACTTGGGGTTTTGGACTTGTCACCTTCCCAACATGGCTACCAGCTACACTGCTTAAAAAGCAGATCTTGTTTTGCTGCTGGGCTCTTGTTGAAATGAAATGTCTGACCCATGGAGATCTTGTGGCTCCGCAGTCTGTTATTCCCATTTGGGGTTTGGTTAACTCAGACTCCATGACTAATGAGATGGAAAAGGCCAAATAAAACTTTATTTGTCCAATAAAAATGGTGTATTCGAGGATATATATGGTCTGTCACAGATGCATTTTTGCTTTATGTGACAATGTAACAGCTGTTCCAATGGGGGGAATTTTCTCCTCTACTCTGCAACTGAGGAAAAGCTGGAAGCTCCACAGGGCCCTTTCCTTGAAGAAACCAACCGGAATCAAGATGCTGATTAAGCCTGTTGCCTCCATGGTTGTCTTTATCCATTGTCATGCCAGATATGCTACATAGCCACCATCATAGACTGGCTATGGAGTAAAGGACACTACATTTCTGATGCAGAGGCATGCACTGAATGACAAACTTGTGATTCCTGCCAAAAGTTGACCCATCTCTTTTATAGTGAGTAAGGCTAAATCACATTGGCCATTGTTCATGCCTACATCTGACTTCCAGCCCCTTCTGAAAGCTATGGATGGTGCCTGACCACTGTTGAACTTTTTCGGGTTATAGTTTTGCCATTCCAGTCCAATAAGCTAGCTCCCACTACAACACTGTGGCTGTCAAAATGAATCTGTGTTTTGTTTTTGGCTTTGTGGGCCATTTGCAATCTGACAGTGAAGTACCCTTCATTACAAGATCAGCTCAACAGTCAGCTGAGAGTTAAGGTATGTAATGGACTTTCAATGCTCCCTACCACTTAGAGGCATCTGGTATTATTGAGTAGTAAATCAGCCTCCTTGAAAATTGGCTTGAAAAGATTTCTCTCTGCCTCCCTCATCACACTCTGGCCCATACAAAATAGGAAGACAATTTGGTCACTGACCTCATGAAAGGATCACCCTTTCTCAGCTGCTTCTTAGGTAATGATCAAGATGAAAGGAGTTAGAAATTACATAGACATATTTTGAAAATTCAGGATTCCGCCTTGACCATGCTAAGCATTATGTGTCTTTCTTTCCCCAAAGAGCAACCCTAGCTCAGGCTGGTTGATACATTCTCCAAGTGGAAGCCTGGCCAAAAGAGGGCCAGCCTAGAGGATTCAAAATGAATCCTAGTTAAGTTTTATAAAAATACCTTTGTTCTTCTTGTAACTAACCCTTCCAGACAAAAGGTTTGTGTGTGGGTTGGGGATAATCAGAAATAAAGGCAATGTGATAGATACTGGAATAGAACACTCCCATTCTGTGGCAATGGAAAGACAGCAACAAGGAGCATTTTAGATTTCGGACATATAGAAGATAGAGGATCATTAATAATATGTTGTCTTTCAAAATTATCCCCGGGCCCTTTCTCCTGCAGGAAGATGCCCTCATGTGGAGCTCCCAAACTTCTACAAGTGCCTCACGTTTAACCCACGTACAGTCTGTCATCCCCTACCAGAGGATTCTGATCATGATTTGATTGCCTTTTTTCTTAACCTTGCTGAGAGTCTATTGGAAAAAGCAGATGGCCTCAGTTCCTGCTCCTCCCATGCAAGAGACCTCCACATGTCCCCCACCCCCCGCCTAGCCATTCTCAGTCATTCCAAGGGACAGATGAATGCCACCTGGATAGTGGTGTGGATAAACAGGACAGATGGGACCAAGCGCCTTCAAAATGCAAGGACTAGACTCAATTATTTGAACAGAACTAGGAATCCCAAAGCCTACCAACCAGCCAGGAAGCTACCTCAGAGGCTCTGCCAACCTCTGCCCTTTGAATAATGTAGGTCCCACTTGGGAGACCCCAACATTTGTAAACAATACTTTCTTTTCAGAGTCACCGTGTGTGTGCTTGGAATTGTACCTCTTGTGTGGGAGTGAGGCATTAATTTACTACCTTCCCCCAAACTGTGATGCTATCCTTCTGGTTACAAAAGGTGGTACAAAATCTGTCCTTCCTTGACTTTAGTTAAATTGATCAATTATACTACATTGGCCCTGGAAGGAATCCAGGTCAGCCTCAATTTACTGGCCAAGCTGTTTATAAGTAATGCATAGACTTCTTCCTTGCAGGCAAAGGCAGTCTATGCGATCACTAATATATCATGCTGTACTTAGATTATTGCCTTGGATCTAAAGGAAAAGTTAATATAGGAACTTATAAAGAAAGTTACCTGGCTTTATAAGGTAGACCTTAATGGTCCCTGGGATTTGTTCAGATGGTTGAGTCCAGGACCAGGACTAAGGGCCATCGTTCAGGTCATTCTTGAATAGGCTTCATTCTGCTGCTTGGACCCTGTTGACAGTAGCCTCATTCAATGTTGTATAGACAAATTGAACAGATTTGATCCCAAACATTGTCAATCAGACTAATCAGAATGACTGATCAAGTAGAATACTCATGGGAAAATATGCTAGAAATCAAAACTGTGTAAAAATGAAAGGTGGATATTGGGGGGTAGGAGCAGGGGTGCACTGGCAGAAAGCATTGAAGAGTATCTGCTGAAACATAGGTTTATGTGAAGGGATCGCCCTGCTTTCAGAAAGTTTGTGTTTTAAACATTTATTGGTAAGTTGATGATTTGAACAACAAAATGCCTTTGCTTATAGAAAATGTGACAAATAAAGGGTTAGATTCCTAGACTAGAACACGAATGCTTATTTAACCCTGGCTATGATTTCAATAGGACATTCCTATTTGATTTTAAGTAGTTTTCTGACTTTTTTTTTCATGTGTTTCTACATATAAACACATGCTTTTTTATTTCAGTGACATTATGTGCTAAATAGACTGAAAAATGACTGTTGGGAGCTGACCACAATTTACCTCATTTTTTTTTCTGTGAAATTGTATGCACCAAGGCATGCACTGTATAGCTTTATCACAACTACAGAACTCAAACCACAGATGAGACAGTGCATAGGCTTAAGAAACACTCACGGCCCCCACCATGGTTCTGGGCATCAGGGAAGTGTCAAAGAGAAAAAGAAAACTCAACTCAGAGGAATACTTCTCCCATTAGCATTTTGGAAAGCTCTCTTCCAGCATGTACCAGCCATTGACACGCTCAAATGCACAAGTCTGGTTATTATTGGTGGGAAGTGCTCTGTATTTTAGAGTTCATAGAAGGTTACCAGAGTTGGAATTCAGTAGAAAATTCTATTAAACCCTCAACAGACAGAACCTTTTTAAAAAGCCATAATTGCTTTAACTGAAGATTATTTCAAAAATTCTATTTAAACTAACTATAATTTTTTTCTCCTTCATGATAGATAATTCTATGTCGGAAGTAGATTTCAAGGTTAAGTCATTTTTTACTATTTTTACTGGAACAAAATCTTTAATATGACACTGAAAAAAATTAATAACAAAAGAAAGTAAGAAGTTAGCAGTAGTGATTCCAAAACAAGGTCAGAATACTGAATATATCATCAGAGAGGAAATAACATGCAGATTGATATGTTAATTACCTCGACAGGTTAGTCTATTGCCACTTTAAAAGATAATCCTTCCTGTGGTACTCAGTCTTTTTTTTTATTTTCTTTTTTTCTTTTTCTTTTTTTTTTTTTTAACTTTCTTTATTGGAATGAAGGGTAAGGGGGTTTTGCACGGACTTTCTTCCCAGAAACATTCACGTAATGACAAGCGATACTTACACAGTATGCTTTTTATGTTCCAGAAACTGTACTATATGCTTTTCTATGCATTGAATCATTTAAGCATCAAAACAATTCTATCAGGTAGGTAATATTATTATATCCATTTTTCAAAAGAAGTGATACCGGTACAGATAAGAAACTTGTCAAAGGTCACATGCTAAGGAGAGGAAGAGCAGAGGGATCTGGACCCAGGCAGTGTGGCTCCAGCATCTACCGGAATCTACAGCCCACTACACTCTAGTGTTTCACACTCACAGATGCACAGGGATGTACAGAATCGTATATGCAATCTCAGAAGGTTTCACTAACTCTCAAAGCCTAGATTTAAAAATCCTTATTCTAAAAGCTTTTTGGCAACATTCACTCTTTTAGAATATTTAAAAAATATGAGGTCATAATCATATGTCCCTTCTACCTAAAGAGAAAGAGGTGGGAGAAATAAGATGAACAGACTTCTGGTTGACATTCTGTTTCTGTTTCAGAAAATTCTAGAACCTCATTTTCCCTCTGCTCTTAACACCATAACAATCAACATGGAAGACTCCTATAACCAAATGTAGGTTTGTTTGTTTTTCCCACCAAGAAGCACTGGATGCTGGCTGGGTGTCCTTGGATTCAATTCCAACACCGTCTACCGGGAGATAGCTTTAGATCCCACAGGTTGATGGCTCAGACCCCAAGATTGGCCCCCTCCCTTCAAATGCCAGTCACAAGTCCAGGCCTCCAGAGCTTCTGGCCAAATGTTTTCAAGTTGGAGTTTCCATAATTTCCTCTTTACATTTGATTAACTTGCTGGAGCAGTTCACAGAACTCAGGGAAACACTTAACTGTGTTTATGGGTTTCTTATAAAGGACATTGCAAAGGATACAGATGAAGAAATGCATAGGGTGAGGTATGGGGAAAGGGGCATGGAGTTTCCATGCCCTCCCTGGGCGTGCCATCCTCCAGTAACCTCCACGTGGTGAGCTATGAGGAAACGCTCTGAGCCTAGTCAGTCCTCTTGGCTATTTTGGAGACCTCGTTATGTAGGCATGATTGACAACTGTGTAGAACAGTGATTGGACAAAAAGGGTATGATCTCATACTAATAGTCGGAATGGGGAAACCCAGCAAGGAGCGGCCATTCAGATTCTTCTTGGCACCTCTGAGCAGCGTTTCTTCCTCCAGAATACAAGGCAGGACCCCATCTGGAATGAGGTTCTTTTGACCCACAATCAGATTAGATTCCTGCCTTGGGTGGGTAAGAGGAGGAGGAGAAAGTCAGAGAGATTCTGTTTCCTGAGTCCTGCTCTTGAGGCCTAAAGTGCCCCAGCATCACGACAGAGGACTATAACAAGGGTTGTAGGCATTGTGAGCTCTTAGCCATGGATGAAAACCCATATATGTAATAATAATACCACAGTCTCTGACACAGACAATTTTTTAGATGAATGAAGTGGTTTCTCCCTAAGACCTAAATCTAGATATCTAGTTTCTCCCTAAGAACGAAATCTAGATACCATTTATTTCTGCTGTGTTAGAGGACATAAAATTTTTAATTTCCCTTTATGTTAGAATGTTTGCAATATTTTTGGCCTGCAGATCAGGTGACCCTTCTTTCCTTAAGTTTCATCAATCATCCAGCAGAATAGTGTCTATCAGGCAGGGTCATGCTACTCCTTTGTTCATTTTCATCTTCGGGTAATGTCAGACTAGCTGGTCAAAGCATGCTGGTAATATACTTGTGACATCATGAGTTGTTCATCGTTTTAAATTTTTACTATTTTTTTCACGTGTATTTTTAAAGTGCAAAAACAACTAGACTGACGCTCAGTTCTCTCTGACCTCATCTTATGCCACTCTCCCCCTTACTCTCATACTTCGGCCGTGGCCAGGTTGGCTTTCGTTTAGTATCTCAAATATGCCAACCTCATTTCTTCCTCTCGGACTTTGTACTTGTTGATCTCTCTGCCCAGCAACTCCTCCTTCTTATTGTCCAGGATTCAGTTCCCATGTCGCCTCCCCAGAGAAAGTTTTCTTTACTGTCTGCATAGTAAATGTAAGTCCCATTACAACAGGGACTTTGGGAACTGTGCTTGTCTCCCAAATTCCACATCACCTGTGTGTAGAACAGAGCCTGATACACAGTATTTGCTGAATAAATATCTTTTTTTTTTTTTTGAGACAGAGTCTCGCTTTGTCGCCTAGGCTAGGGTGCAGTGGTGCAATCTCAGCTCACCCCAACCTCTGCCCCGCCAGGTTCAAGCGATTCTCCTGCCTTAGCCTCCTGAGTAACTGGGATTACAGGTACCTGCCACCTTGCCCGGCTAATTTTTTTTTTTTTTTTTTGTATTTTTAGTAGAGATGGTGTTTCACCATGTTGGTCAGGCTGGTCTTGAACTCCTGACCCCAGGTGATCCACCTGCCCTCGCCTCCCAAAGTGTTGGGATTACAGGCATGAGCCAAGGTGCCTGTTCAAATTTATCTGTTGAACAAATAAAGAATCTTCATGCTTTGCCAGATCTCTAGTTCCAAACCTAAGTGGTCCAAATAGGCAGCTTGAATTTCAGAGGAGGATAAATAAATACATAAATAAATAATCAACAACATTCTTCACTTCTTTGTGGCACCTTCAAGCAAAAAGTTTGGGAATTAGACTATAGGATAGTATAACATACCTTTCTCCATCATTTCTCTTTCTCAAAAAAGTCAATAATGCACACACTGGCACCTAATGATCTAATTTTATTGGCCAAAACTATAAAATGTTCATATCTGTGGACAGCTTGAACTGTTGAAAATTAAAGGCACATCAGTTAGGTAACTTTTTCTTCCTCAAGAGCAGCTTTTCCTCAGGCACGGTTTTTCGAAAACAGCCTCAGAAATTTCTCTATTGTTATAAAACAGCAGCAAATTATAAAACTTAGATTTGTGTTGATTACAACCAGTTGTGGGGAAAAGAAGATTGTTTGCAGCCTGATTATTAGGACCTATGCAGGAGCAAAAGTGAACTTTGCATCACTGCCACCTAATCTTCATAACTTGGAAATCAATAAGAGACATGAAGGAGAACTGAAAAGTCAATGGGCACAGCCATTAAGTTTAAATCACATGTCCCTGGATGCAAAAATACACTTTTAAAAATTATAACATGCAGACTTTTTTCAGTTTGCAACTGGTCAATTGCCATAATTGTTTTTATTCTGTTTTATTTTAAATAGTAGTCTCATCACCTAATGCATCTGGCATCCAACAGCAAGCTGACAAAGTATACATAATGACTCTTAAAATGGCTCTCAAGAAAAATTCTGTCATCCTATAATCACCTTATTCATGCTGAAGGCATACTACTGTCTTTCGGGAATATTCAAATTTGTGAAACATGCAAAAAAGGGAATGAAATGACACCTTTGAGAAGCTGCTACTCAGAGAACAATTACTTATTACAGCATTTATCCTGATGGCAAATGACAAAGGATTTTACTTTTTTTTTTTAATTAACCAAGCAGAGTGTTTTCCCAGCAATAATATTCCCAGCCTTGTTACTCTATCAAAATAGGAATTTGACAAGGGTCGACTTGCTTGGATAATTTATATTTTTCCAGATTGCAACAAGAGTTTGTGAGTTCTTGATTTCAACATTCTAAAAATTCATTTATAGCTTTCATTTATGTTTTTACTAAAAATTCCATAACCATGCCTTAAGATTAGAAACATCTCAAGAATCATTAAAATAGATATGCAATCTTGTAACATCTGAGAGGTTATTAAAAAAATAGATCTGCGATCTATAAAATTGCTCACTTTCCTAACCCATTTCTTCCTAATTATCACAATTCAATCTTAGACATCTATTAACAGGATTATACTTCCCTCTCCTGCTTGTTTTACTTCCTGAAGTCTCAGGTCTTAAATCTCTAAGCACATGATGAGTCTTCAGAAAAACATGACCACAAATTAGAAATGTTGCCACCAACCAGACAGGACTCTAAATAGGGTTTTTCTTTGTTTACCCTTATCACTAAAAGAGTTGGAGAGAAGATGAAAATGATGATCTGTTTTAAATCCATCATTTGTTCAAGAGTGGCCATGAGATCTAGCAAAACTGGAAGAAAAACTGATAGTGATGCCTTTCATTTATGCACCAGCACATTAGAATGTACAAAGTCCTTGGCATACCTTTGTGTATTTAAATATTATGACATTCCCATAAGATACGCAGGGCACACATTATTATCACCATTTCAAGGACAGAGAAATTGAAGTATGAAATGTTTAAATACTCTGCAAACGGCCACACATCTTAAAACACTGTGAAGCCTGCGCTAGGACCCAAGAGTTCTCTTTCAAATTCTCATGTGGTTTCCGCTCAGTAACTCTGGTACCACATACGTAAGGCATTTTTTTCTATTTATAAACTTTAATAAGTTAAATACCAATAAGTACCTTATTTTCTACAAAATTTAATAAAAATCTATACAATCAAATCTATGCAATCAAATAATACTAGAGGTCCAGTTTTAGTAATAATTTTAGTTTTAGTTTTTTGCAATTTTGTTGCTTATAAATTTGATGATCTTTCTAAGACAAAGAATTGAAAATGACCTTTAAAAATGTTAAACCTTTTGGAATATATGGTTAGTCATTTACAAATGTATTGATTTAAAGTTATGAGATTCATTAGCATTGCTTAATTTATCTATATTGCAATATGGATAGCGTTCGAACTGCAAAATATTATGTGCTGGATAAGATATCTTTTTAAAACATCTTACTGAGATTCTATTGGGACTGGCAAATAATTGAAAACACTTAGTAGAATATTTCAGGGAATGTTGCCAAGGAGTGAATAAGAGAATCGCATTTCATTTTTAAATGCCAGACAAAAGTCACCTAAAATGATGGTAACAGTGGTTAGAAGAAGGAAGGAAATTGGGCTGGGGGAAGGCCTAATTTACATAAGGTGCTTTATCTAAAATTTTCTTTCTTTTGTTGAATTTGACAATTTACCAGAGCCTTTTCAGAAGTGTCTGACATCCCTTTTAATTAAGCAGCAAGCAGTAAGAAGTGACAGGCAATGTGTTTCTAGAGTATTAATGCATACCTTGAGTGAATTCGCCACCTCAAGAAGAGCTCTAATTCTGAAGAAAGCATTTAGTCTGTCTCATATAGAATGTTAACGTTGAATAAAACCACAAAGGTGTATTTATTCATTTAGGTTAAATCTCTCTCATTTCCTGCTTATATAAGCAATGTATTTTTTTATTTGTATCTTTTAATTGAAACAGAGTCTTACTGTGTCACCCATGCTGGAGTGCAGTGGCACAGTCTTGGCTCACTGCAATCTCCACCTCCCAGGTTCAAGTGACCCTCCGCCCTCAGCCTCCCGAGTAACTGGGACTACAGGCGTGCGCCACCATGCCCGGCTAATTTTTGTATTTTTAGTAGAGATGGAGTTTAACCATGTTAGGCAGGCTGGTCTCAAACTCCTGACCTCAAGTGATCCACCTGCCTCAGCCTCCCAAAGTGCTGGGATTACAGCTGTGAGCCACTGTGCCCAGCCACATAAGCAATTTATTTTTATGCTGCAGGAGAGTCTGATATTTTTTTAAAAGTTAGGGGGAATGTCATGTGGTTTCTACTACAATTACTTGGAAGGAGCACTCAGTCATTTTATGAAGACCAGCAAATTCTTATGCCTAAATAGGAATGTCAACTCTGAAAAGTGAGACTGCATTGCTAAGGTTATATATGGGACTGGAAAAGTTTTCTCTGGGTTCGGTAAAGTATGCTAGGTTATATGTGGAAGGAAAACCCCATGGATTTTCTATGCTTGTGTAATTTGTTATAGAACTGCCCCTGTCGTAGCTCATTCTATCTCTTAACCAGGCCATTGACAGTTCTCATTTGTTCATAGGGTTCTTCTCAGTGTCCACTGCTCCCAGATTATCACTTCAATTGGCTTCCCCTGGCTCTTGCCTTTGAGCTTTGTTTTCTACACACAGATCAATATCTCTTTCCACTGGTATATTCAGAGAGAAGGAAAAAAGAAGCATAGTGGAGAGAAAGCATCAGAACCCCAATGAACAGACAGGGAGCAAAACATTTAGTCCTGAAATTCGGAAAGAAAAGTAGTTGTTTCAGTGTCTTCTCATATTAAGTTCCCATGTTGACTCCCCATATATAATTATTTTCCATGTCTTTTTTATTATTATAATATCCTCCCCTAGTGGTGGTATTTTGAGTGGATTTCTTGTCACCAGAAAATATTGACTAAGAGACGATACTGGCTATTTCAAACAGGTTTGTTAAGTGATCGACCTAGATGTTGGGAACTATCTCAACGTGGTCAAGCTAGAGTAGCCACTGCCTTTGAAGTTATTCACTGACCTATCACTATTTTGGTTATTCTTCAAGCTTCAGAGGACAGAGGTTTTCTGATGAGTGAGACCATGAATCATTATTGACATTGGGTAATTCCATTGAGTAGTAGTTCATCCAGAAGTTTGAAATATACTCTAATTTAAATGAACTCCACTAGTTTAGACTTTGTGGAAAAAGGCCGCCATTTATAGAGCCCTGTCCCAATTTGTCAAATTGTCATTGTCCTCGACCACAATGAATCCCAGTTCTAATATGAAGCCCATGACACAAAAGTGGCAAGAATTTCTGAGCAGAAGCCTTCACCTCTGCCTATTCCTATGGACATTTGCCAGGGATATTTTGGCCGCTACACGGCTTCATGTATTGGTTTCACAATGGCTCACAAAATTTGTAGCTTTCCTGAATATAATGCAGACACAAGAGTTAAATAAGTTGCACTGCTCCCTGTCCTTAAGTGAGTCATTCCTCTCATAATAAGGATAACAGGTATATGCCTGATCAAAGCCATATACCCAGCCATTCTAGGTACATATAGGAAGAACCTAGGGGTTCACCCATTTGTCAGAGTCTGCAGCAGAGATCCTTCTTGCTATTTGTAGAGAAAAGTCAAAAACACAATGTCTTTCATTTAGTCATTTTAGTTCTTTATGTCACGTATTCCTTAAGTGGAAAACCATCAAGCCCTACTTTTCATATCTGTTGCAGAATTCACCCACCAACTTATTGTCATTAATGAAAATTTAGGTTGCATGTGGCAAAGAAAGGGATAAACTTTTCAAGGAAAAGAGACTTACAAAATGAGATATAACTGGTGATGGGTAAACAAAATGTGGTATATGCATAAGCTGGAATGCCATTCAGCAATGGAAGGAATGAATTGCTGCTCATCCCACACTACAACATGAAGGAGGCCAAATCTGGGAGACCACATGCTTATGAAATGTACAAACAAAGCAAATTTAAAGAACAGTAAGTAGATTAGTGGTTGTCTATGGCTGGGATGGGAAGAAGAATTAACTGTAAAAGGGCATGGAGGATCTTGTGGGGGGATGATAATGCCCTAAAGCTTGCTATGGTGACTGCTGCACCACTTAGTAGAGATATTAAATACCACTGAATTGTAGATCTAAAATGGGTGAATTTTGTGATGTGGAAAACATACTTCAATAGTTATTTAAAAATGAAAAAATCAAAAGAAGAGGCTTCTTTAAGCATGACACAGAATGAAGCACTAAGAATCTAAGCACTGAGAATAGAAATGATTTTTTTAAAACACCTACTATGTACCCACAAAAATTAAAAATAAAAAAAAACTTTTTAAATAATTTAAGCACTCAGAATCTAAGTACTGAGAATGACCTGCTAAGTGCTAACATCATGGTTGCTGCTGTTTTTCTGATTGTCATTGCCAGGACATACGAGGAAGCTAATGGCTAAAGTGCAATATTATCTTGCCAAAAGTTTGTCTAATCTTTCTGCCCACATAAGAGAAGGCCTAACTACAGACCAACTCCTGAGAACTCCTGAGGCAAAGGGAAAATTCTGCCTTCTCCTGGATGTGGCAGTAATGCCACAGGGTCACCCTTGGATGGTGAGGAAAGGCCAGGTTGGTCCCTGACTTTATCCCAACTCTGCTTTGGGCATGTGACATGTTGAGATTGTGGAGGGTCTATGTTTCTGGTCGGGGATGGAGAATTCCCTAACCTGGTTGAGTTACCTGTAACCTGCTTATCTCAAACTGATGGGTTTTTTGAAAAGATTATTTTACAATTGGAGAATAGACTGAGGAGAATCAAAAATGGAAATACAAAATCTTTCTAGGACTCTTGCAATATTCTAGGTTGGAAACTAGGACCTTGACCAAGATGGTGACCATGATGACATACATTTCAGACACAAAATCAAGAGAACTTGACGATATGGTGAAAGAAGAACGGCTAAGGGAAATAGAAATCAAATCTGCCATGTTCTGAAACAGGGAAGCATTGTTTAGGCAGATATTTTACTGATGAATCACATCTACCACAGTAGATATTCTTAAGAATTATTATTCAGTTTACCAGAATATACTTTACTTGAAAAAGAAAAGTGTGTGTGTGCATAGATATACATAAAATATGTACTTTAAAATCTATATTAATATATAATGATGTATGTAATATTGTTATATACGTAAACTTACGTAGACTAAAATATATAATACTAACACATATGGTGCATATATATTAATACATATACTAAATACATATATTTACAACTGAACTGGTGAAGTGTCAGATCATTCTTTGTCATTAGTTCCTTTACCAGCCTGGATAATGTTTTGACTCAACCAAAGTCTTTCAGACACCACTAAAATGGCCTCACCCTAAGAGTCAGTTCTTTTTAGGGAATTGCAGCTGGAAGGTGGTTTGGTATTTGATCTTTCTGTAGTTGTGTCAAGCTACAAAGAAATGGTAGTCTGACTCAGTTGGCTGTGCACTTAATGGGGAGGAAGTGCTTGGTATGTTCTTGTTTATTTAGATAATTCTGCATAATCCAGTAAAGATCAAGTACACAGTGTAGCAGATGTACAAACTTCCTGCCTTTGAAGAGAAATACCACAATTCTCCAATGATCAAAGACAAGGAAAGAAAGGTAAGAGGGAAGAGCTGATGGTGGGCTGGCTCCTGGCCTTGGACCTCCTGAATTTGTCCTAGTTAAGGACAGGTGTTCCACTCAGAGTGGGCAAGTTATTTACATCAGATCCCAACTGCTTTAAAAGAGTAATGCTTCTACTTGCCATTTACAACTGAAAGGGAAAGATGAATTAATAGTTATTGCATTTCTATGCACTAAATGATATAGTAGAATTATCAGACGTGTGTTACCTATTTCTTGTAATATCCTTCCTAATAAATTATTTCCATACCAAATTTACAAATATGAATGCCAAGCTTCTGATTAAGAAGTTTACCTAATTTCATATAGCTAGTAAGTGGAAGAAATGGAAATTAAGATCCGTCAGCTCTACAGATTACTTTTCCCTCCCAATTACACTACGCAGCAAGGAAACGATTAGCCACAGTGTCAGAGGGTAGGAGGAGAGAGAGTGATTTGGAAACATTAGAAATTTCTATTGTTTTAAAGCTATATCTTTAATGATCTGAAAGCTTTATATTCAGATGCTTTTGCTTAAATCCTTAAAAGCTACAAAGAAGTAGTAATATAGAAGGCACAACTCTTCTGGGGTATCTTACCTATTCTTAAAGACATGAATTTCTCTGAATTGTAGGTGACCACCTTTGTTATATTTATGCTTTCTAAATATCTTACTGTACAAATAAGGAAAGCATGGAAGATGGGCACTAGTCTGACCCCAGGAAACAGCTTAAATATTATCACTCAGCATGTTACTACACTTATGGGCCAGAAAACGTATCTGGAAGCAAGACATGCATTATAGATCAATGATGAATTTGATGAATATACGTTTGGTCCTTTTACTGAACCTTTGAAGAAATCTACTTCAATAGAGACTTGAAGACACAGATTTCCACTGATACTCTTTGCCTACTGAAATTCTGTCAAGGCAAGCATCTTCCTTTTCCAAGTACTTATATTTTAGCTTGAGAAAGAATTTTGGCTTTGCAGTAGGAGCTAGGAGTTGTGTTCCACAAAGCTTGTTATTTTGCCACATATTTTAGTGGCTTTGCATATATGCTGTATTTAATAGGTTGCTAATCTAAGAGTTCAAGTATCTACAGGGACAAAGACTAAGAATGACACCAACCCTCAAAGTGGCTGAGTACAAAGCTAAGTGACTCTATAGTCTAGAATGGCGCAAAAGTGACTCACTGGAAACCCATCTGAGACAAAGGAGCCAATCTCCCTTTAAGATCAAAGAAGGTCCTGGAGTGTAGTCAACCATAAGTCAAATTAGTGAGTTTGGTTTCATAAAACTCATGTATGAAGCATCAGAAAAGATGCAGGACACAAAGAAGTGTCTATGTTGCTGACAAAGACAACTTCTTTTGTAATAATATTTTGATCTTGATGAGAGTAAAATCATTTGGGTAGTGGCTGAGAGAATGTTGGTGAAATCGCATAGATTTCTCCCTCACATGAAGAAAATGCCCAATCAATTCCAATTGGCTTTGAAAGAAGTTACACTTGCTCTATGTAACAGAAAATTTTTCAGTCCTGGAAATAGTTAGGATACTCACATAATACTTTAATCATATACAGACACAGATAAAAGATAAACATCATCTCTCATTTCTCAGGATCTTTAATTAGATTAGGGTTTAAGATAGCTTCTCAAAAAAAAGTTTAAGAAACATTTCTTTGTGATACAAGAAATCACCATGGCACATTTTACCTATGTAACACAACCACATCCTGCACATGTGCCCCGGATTTTGAAATTTAAAAAAAAAAAAAAGAAAGAAAGAAAACTTCAGGCCAATATCCCTGATGAACATCAGTGCAAAATTCTCAGTAAAATACAGGCAAACCAGATCCCACGGCAAATCAAAGAGCTTATCCGATCAAGTCGGCTTCATCACCAGGATGCAAGACTGGTTCAACATATGAAAATCAATAAATGTAACTCATCACATAAACAGAACTGAAGACAAAAACCACATAATTATCTCAATAGATGCAGAAAAAGCCTTCGATAAAATTCTACATCCCTTCATGCTAAAAACTCTCAATAAACTACGTAATGAAGGAACATACCTCAAAATAATAAGAGCCATTTATGACAAACCCACAGGCAATATCAGACTGAATGGGCAAAAGCTGGAAGCATTCCCCTTGAAAACTAGCACAAGACAACGATGCCCTCTTTCACCACTCCTATTCAACATAGTATTAGAATTTCTGGCTAGGGCAATCAGGCAAGAGAAAGAAATAAAGGGCATTAAAATAGGAAGAGATGGAATCAAATTGTCTCTGCAGATGACATGATCCTATATTTAGAAAACCCGATTGTCTCAGCCCAAAGGTTTCTTAAGATGACAAACAACTTCAGCAAAGTCTCAGGATACAAAATTAATGTGCACAAATCTCAAGCATTCCTATACACCAACAACAGACAAGCAGAGAGCCAAATCATGAATGAACTCCCATTCACAATTGCTACAAAAAGAATAGAATGCCTAGGAATTACAGCTAACAAGGGAAGTGAAGGCACTCTTCAAAAAGAACCACAAACCACTGCTCAAGGAAATCCAACAGGACACAAACAAATGGAAAAACATTCCATTTTCATGGATAGGAAAAATCAATATCGTGAAAATGGCCATACTGCCCAAAGCAATTTATAGATTCAATGCTATTCCCATTAAACTACCATTAACATTCTTCACAGAATTAGAAAAAACTGGCCAGGTGTGGTGGCTCGAGCCTATAATCCCAGCCTTTGGGAGGCCGAGGCAGGCGGATCCCTTGAGGTCAGGAGTTCGAGACCAACTTGGCCAACATGGTGAAACCATGTCTCTAAATTGGCCAGGCATGGGGGTGCATGCCTGTAAACCCAGCTACTCAGGAGGCTAGGGCATGAGAATTGCCTGAACCTGAGAGTTGGATATTGCAGTGAGCCAAGATAGCACCACTGCACTCCAGCGTGGGTGATAAATCGAGACTCTGTCTCAAAAAGAAAAAAAAAAAGAATTAGAAAAAAGCTATTTCAAACTTCATATGGAACCAGAAAAAGAGCCTGTATAGCCAAGAAAATTCTAAGCAAAGAGAACAAAGCTGGAAGCATCATGGTCCCCGACTTCAAACTATGCTGTAAGGCTACAGTAACCAAAACAGCATGGTACTGGTATAAAAACAGACACACAGACCAATGGAACAGAAGAGAGAACTCAGAAATAAGACCACACATCTATAACCATTTGATCTTCAACAAACCCGACAAAAACAAGCAATGGGAAAAGATTCCCTAGTTAATAATTGATGCTGGGAAACCTAGCTGGCTATATGCAGAAAGTTGAAACTGGACCCCTTCCTTATACCTTATACAAAAATTAACTCAAGATGTATTAAAGACTTAAATGTAAAACCTAAAACTATAAAAACTCCAGAAGAAAATCCAGGCAATACCGTTCAGGACATAGGCACAGGCAAAGATTTCATGATGAAAATGTCAAAAGCAACTGCAACAAAAGCAAGAAGTGACAAATAGGATCTAATTTCACTAAAGAGCTTCTGCACAGCAAAAGAAACTATCATCAAGTGAACAGACAACCTACAGAATGGAAGAAAAGTTTTGCAATCTATCCATCTGACAAAGGTCTAATATCCAAAGTCTACAAGAAACTTAACAAGAAAAAAACAAACAACCCCATTAAAAAGTGGTCAAAGGACATGGATATACACTTCTGAAAAGAAGACATTTTCATGCGTCCCACAAACATATCTTTAAAAAGCACAACCTGACTGATCATTAGAGCAATGCAAGTCAAAACAACAAAGAGATACCATCTCACACCAGTTAGAATGGCAATGATTAAAAATTCAAGAAACAACAGATGCTGGCAAGGATGCGGAGAAAGGGGAACAGTTTTACACTGTTTTGGGGAATGTAAATTAGTTCAACCATTGTGGAAGACAATTTAGTGATTCCTTAAAGATCTAGAAGCAGAAATACCATTTGACCCAGCAATCCCATTACTGGGTATATACCCAAAGGAATATAAATCATTCTATTATAAAGATACATGCACTCATACATTCATTGCAGCCCTATTCACAATAACAAAGACATGGAACCAACCCAAATGCCCATCACTGATAGACTGGCTAAAGAAAATGTGGTACATATAAACCATGGAATACAATGCAGCCATAAAAAGGAATGTGATCATATCCTTTGCAGAAACATGGAAGGAGCTGGAAGTCATTATCTTCAGCAAACTAACACAGGAACAGAAAACCAAACACCGCATGTTCTCACTTATAAGTGGGAGTGGAACAATGTGAACATATAGACACAGAGAGGGGAACATCATACACTGGGGCCTGTCAGGGGGCATGGAGGGAGGGAGAGCATCAGGAAAAATAGCTAATGCATGCTGGGCTTAATACCTGGGTGATGGTTTGATACAGGCAGCAAATCACCATGGCACACATTTACCTACGTAACAAACCTGCACATCCTGCACATGTACCCAGGAACTTAAAATAAAATTAAAAAAGAAAATTGGTGAAAAACCACTAGCCCTTTCATCTCTATTAGTACAGCCACTGAATTCATAAGTAATATATCAATCAAAAAGTAACTCACCAAATTGTCTGGATCACTTTCCTAGTGCTTCTCTTATCCTTTTTTTTTTTCTTTATTTTCCTCACCCTGGAGAAGAATCAAAGGTGAATGGCATGGCAGGTAAGTAAGGCAGGAATGCTGCAGAAAATGTTCTAGTGCTATAAAAAATTAATCAGCTGCTTCTTTAATTAATATCAACACTGTGCACAATTTATGCTGTGTATTCCCAGGATATCTCACTACTTTCACTCTGGATAAGTCCATTATCCATGGGGTTAAGAGCAGGGCATGAGGAGACAGAGGTTGGAATCCAGCCTCACAGCTTACTAGCTGTGTGACTCTATACAAATTACTTAACCTCTTTGGGCTGCAGTGAAAGGGGGCTAACCATAGTCCTACCACACAGGGTAGTTAGGATAATAAAATGAGTTTATATTCATAAAGTTGTTAGAACAATGTCAGAAATACAGTAAGCACTAAGCAAACATTTCTCTCTTTTTTTTGGTATAAATTTAAAGGGTACAAAGGCAGTCTTGTCACATGAATATTTTGTGTAGTGGTGAAGTCTGGACTGTTAGTGTAACCTATATAAAATAAATAAGGTTTACTTATTTGTATATTTTCCAACTATTGGATTTTGGCAATTGTTCCTATAATTTGACTTTCTTTACCCTATTCTTCTCCATCCAACTTTCAATACATACACACGTATAAGTGATACATATTATTCCAGTGAAAATCATGCCACTGTATCTCACATTCGTTGTCCATGTCTATGAAAACATATAAATAATAATCCCTGTTATAGTTTCCTTTAGCCCTTATTTTATCACTCCAGTTTCATGGAACACAGCTCTTTCCATAGAATTAGAGGGGGAAAAAGAGCCCTGGAAAGGTCATTAATTTTTTTTCTTTACCTTTGCCACCCACTTTCAAGCCAAACCACACACATAAATCACCTCAGACTCTTTCTTCATCACAGTGTGGTTTCCATTCACGTCTACTCTGCCCTAAGGAAAAAATTTTTGTTACAGGTGGGCAAATTCAGCACTAATGGCATTACCCTATGTTTTCAGGAAAACTTTTGAGGACAAAATAGCCCCATTAAAGTTGCCAGTTTCACTGGTTTCTTGTCACTGATCAAGTTTAATTATTTCCATTGTTGAAAACCCAGAAACCAATTTCTCACTCACAATTCATAATCAGACTCAATAAATTCATGGCAAAACTCTTAAACTGCTCCCATAATGGACTCCCTCAATTTCTTTTTTTAGACAGTAACTACAAGGTGAAAATCTGCTATTTCATTGTTACTAGGTCATAAGTTCTCATTAAACCCTATGATTTCATGAGAATAACATAGCTAGTCGATCCAGTTTAAAAAAAAAAAGATGTGTGGAAGCTGGTTGTGTGAAATTTTCACTATTAATTGATTGATTTAACCACTACACATAGAGACAAAACCTCTTGTTAAATATTAAAAATCCTATAGGTTCAAAATACTGGCTTGAGACTGGCTATCTGCTTTTTAAACACTATATTTTCAGCACCTTGTGGGTGCAGGATTAAAAAGAATGAGGCATTGTGCTTTATTTTAGACAGCCTCCCAAACTATTCTTGAAAAACCTTTCTGCTTATATCTGACATCTGCTGTTTCTTCAGAGTTCATATAAATGAGGCTGTGTAACCTTATAGATTCTCCAGTAATCTTCCTCAATTTGTCACTCTATCCATACGGAATAGAGAACAGAGACTTCTCAGTTGCCATAGGACATGGTTGAATACAAATAATACTAGAAAAGCTGCTGCCCCAAAACACTTCTCCTACTGAAGAATCAAATGACATCATTTGGGAATTTATTTATTTAAAGTAAGGTTCTTCATCTCTCAATGTTTTGAGAGACATAGAATTCAACTCGTGACTCTCGGCTGTGAGTGAAGCTTCTTCCCTGTTTTACTGTTTGGGAGGAGAAGATATAGCGGAGTTAAACATCAATGTTTTCTCTGACTTGTTGAAATAGCAAAAAGAGATTCAGTCATTCAGCAAGTAATTATTTGGCACCCACTAGATGACAGGTGGAGTCCCAGGCACTATAAATGTAAAGAAGAAGGAAAAAAAAAAAACATTTGAGGTCCTCTAGGTGGAAGACAATATGGTAATCAAATATTGTGCACACAGGTTATAAGGGAAGGGTGTGGGGTTCTACAGGGTATTTGGGGAGAACAGGGAAGGATGTGTATAACTCTGTCTGGAGAGATCAGAAAAGGCTTCCCTTGAATACGAGTTGTCTAAGCCCAATCTTGAAGGATAAATAGGAGTCCATCAAGCTGAGGAAGAGCATCACAGGCAGAGGAAGCAGCAGGCCAAGTACAGAGTGGTAAAGTCTAAGGGACAGCAAGGAACCACCGTAAATCATCACAGGCAGAAGGACTCTGTGATGAATTGATGGGAGATTCCATGGAGAAGGTTGTCATGGGTGTCAGATCATTACAGTCTCAGACTCTATGCCTTCTCCTGCAGATCACCAATTCTCATAAAAACATTATGTTTCCACATGTTCCGCTCTTCCGTGGATGTATCCAGATTCATGCATAATTCCAGGTGAACTTCCTCCAACTTTATCCCATTCTCTCCTTCTTTAGAAAAATGTGTCGGAATCCCAAGGAGAAAAGGTAAATAGAAGGATAATTGTAATGTTTATATTTTCATTTTCTCTATATTATGATGTCTTGATACTTAAATTTTGTTCTGGGTTGGGAGCGACTGCTTTCCCTGAGCCAGCCAGTCCTTAGAGACAGCACAGGGCTCAGCCAGGAGCTTATGTTTGATAATTCAAACTAACCAATCCAGAGTCATATCTCTGGTCAGTATGCTCCAGGAGATAATATTTCTCTGCCTCAGTCATCCCAGTGCCAGGTACCAGGCAACCAGGGACCAGCCCGTATCATAGAGCCCACCAAAATTATTTAAACTAGCCAGTCCTAAGATGTTCACCCTGCCCTGCCTTTTCTTTCTCTCCAAAACCCCAATAAAGGCTCTCACCTAGACCTTTCGAACTCCTGCTTTCTGCCCCCTGACCACAGTGAGACCTCCCCATGTGTCTGTGAGGAGTGTCATGTCTCCTATTTTTAGGACTGATGAGGATAATAAACTTTGTTTTCCTGAGCCTCTCCTGTGTCTCCTCTTGTGGCTACACCTGACTGATCATCCCATAAAAGAATGCAGAACAATAACCTATCCCGTCTTATTCATCAAAACACAACCACCTCAAAATCCAGTTCTTTTATTTCAGTTAGGGGTGTGTGTGTGTGTGTGTGTGTGCACATTGTGTGTGTGTGTGTGTGTGTAAAACTGTCATATAGCAGCTCTCCTCATACCAATGTTCTGTGATCACAAGGTTAAGATGTACTCTTAGAGATGATGAAAAACAATAAAGTGGTTGCATAAAGAGAGTGACACATTCAATTTGCATTCTGGCAAGATTGCTCTATTTATAATGAGGGAAATGGATTGAAGAAGCAAAGAATGGAAGTAGCGTGTATTGGAGGTTATTTCAATCGTCTAGAAAAGGAGTGGAAGTTGTGCCAGTTTTAATGGAGAAGACTTGTTCATCAAGGAGTGTGGGTGGTGAAGGAGAGGGAGGGAATGAGGATGCTTAGATGTCCAGACAGGCGGCAAGAGAGGAGGATCAGAAATGGAATGAAAGGGAATGCATCATTGCAGAAATGTTGAGACTTGGAAAGACATACATTTATATGTTCCCATTTTTGGTTCTTTGAAGACTAGTGAGAGAAGGGAGTATAAAATTTAGAGGTCAAATAATATAATTAAAAATACTTGATTTATATAGAGCAGGGTTCTGCAAACTTTTTCTGCAAAGGGTAAAGGAGTAAATATTTTAGCATTTGAAATCTGCCACGGTAGTATGACAGCAGCATAGATAGTATGTAAACAAATGAGCCTGGCTGTGTTCCAATAAAACTTTATTTACAGGCAGAGGGCCAGATTTGGTCCACCAACCATCGTATGCCAACCCCTCATATAGAGACAGCCTTGGTGCAGAAAGGATACCATAAAAAATATTTTCTCTGGGATTTCGCAGGAAGCTCAGATTTACTATCATTAAATTAGATATTTTTCAGTTGTCTGAATACCAAGGACATGTTCAAAGCTTCCTTCAATTGTTACTTTTTTTTCTACTGCAGATTCTTATCATACATGTATATTTTTTTCATAATCGAAGGCGCTGGCAAGTTTCAAATACAAAGCAGTTGCCAATTTGCATTAAGCATGTATTAAGAAACATCAGAGTAAGGAGGAATAATTGTTTTCAGTTAAGTGTGTTTGTGTGTGTGTAAAGTAATAAGCTCTTAGAAAATATAAAAGACTCATCTACCAATTCTGGTGGAAAATATCTGTAGGTTAGCTGGCTCATCTCTTCTAAGATTTAGAGGCCACAAATATTATAAAGTTTTAATGTCTTATAAAAGTGATTTCCAATGAAAAGAAATGTTGCTAACAAAATCTCCAGAGATGGTAGTCAAAACTGTGATCTCTCTGTAGTATATTTGAAAGCCAGGAAAGCATTTCTTATGTACCAGGTAGGAAAACTGTGATTTTTGTCCTTACAACATTGCATTAGGCAACACTTCTTAACAAGCAGCCAAAAATAAGTTACCTAATGGAATATCATGCTGCAATTCTATTGCCACTAGTTATATCATTAACGGGTTCCTGTCAAAAGATGGAATAAAAATAATGAGCAGATACTTATACTTCTTTTCTCATCCTTACATAGCTTTATACTTTTTTATAACCAAAACAAGTGCCACGTAAAGAAAGGAACGTAGAACTGTATGAAGAGGTCATTTGAGCCCACCTTTCCAAATGTCACATGATCTATTGAAAATTATTAGAGCGGAGTGAAGGAAAATGCCAAATAGACTTATAGTTATCTTTCTTTCCCTGAGATACAGTTTGGGTTCAAAGATATAATTTTGATCTGTTCTTGGTATCTGTCTCCATGGCAATGATATTTGTTCATAAATATTCTTGCTGCAGGTTGACCTGATTTTAGTTTACGCAATTAAAAAGTTCCTCTTGACCATTTATCATTTTTCCCTGGTGTAAAACTTTTTGTTTCATTTTGTTTTCTTTAGCCTTGGGAATGTGGCAATTCCAGGGTCTGGTTGATTTGCTGACTCTTTAGGGAGGTCCTTCCCATCTATGATTGTTTTCTTTGTTTTCACTTTCGCAGTGTGTGTTTTGCAGTTCTCTTATTTGTCAATTTTTTGTTAATTTGTGAATCTTTCACGTTATATCAGTGTGAAAACAGAAGCTTCACCTGGTTATTTGAAAAGAGAATTTAATATTTTAAAACACAGTTAACCAGATATGAAGTTTTTAACTAGGTAACTGAAAGCGTAAAAAGAGAACTCTTAGTTAGAGATCAGGAAATTTTTTCTGCAAAGGGCCAGATAGAAATACTTTTAGTTTTGTGAGCCATCATGCTACTCAGTTCCACATGGAAGCAAGAAAACAGCGACCTCAGACATAAGAAGTGGGCCTGAGTGTGTTCCAATAAGTCTTTATTTACAAAAACACAGGCAGCAGGGAAGATTCAGCCTACAAACTGTAGTTTGCTGTATTAGTCAGCATTCCCCCAGATAAACAGAACCAATAGGATATATGTAGATCTGGAATTTATTATGGGAGTTGAAACATGAGATTATAAAGGCCAAGAAGTCTCATGATCTGCCGTCTGCAAGCTGGGGACCCAGAAAAGGCAGAGGTGTAATTCAATCTGAGTCCAAAGGCCTGAGGACCAGGGGGAACACTGGTATAAGTCCTGCAGTCTGAAGATTCAAGAACCAGGAGCTCAGATTCCCAAGGGCAGGAGAAATTGAATGATCCAGTTCAAGGATGGAGAATTTGCCCTTCCTCTATCTTTTTGCTTTATTTGGGCCCTAAATGGTTTGGATGACATTCACATTGGTGAGAACAGATCTTCTTTATTCAGCCCACTGATCCAAATGCTAATCTCTTCTGGAAGCACTTTCCTAGATACACCCAGAAGTAATGTTCTACCAGCTATCTGGGCATCCCTTAGCCCAGTCAACAAATAAAATTACTCATTTGCCAACCCTTGCTCTAAATTATCACTGAGGTAGCAACTGCAGAAAGCAACTTCCATCCTTAGGGCCAAGGGAACAAAAAGAAAAGATTGGATTTATAAAATTTGGAAACTTGAAAGCATTGTTTCATGAGCCTGGGATCTAGACCTTTGAGGAAAGGGCACTAGTTGGCTAGTGCTGAGATCTTTGCAGGGTATGAACAAGTTGGTTTTACAAATGTTGGAGAAAGTTCCCACTGGATTCCACTAAAAGGTGCTACCACTTCCCAGTGAAAATGCATTGCTAGGCTGATATTCTGGCAGGCAGTCAGCAAACAGGCTCTAAACTCATGAAAGAATCAATAAGAAGGCACTAGTTTTTTTTTTTTTTCTTCTACTTCTTCTTCTGTAGCCTTGCAGTCTTCCCTTATCATCCTCTATTGACTAAGCAAACTGGCAAATCAGAAATGCAGTTTGCAGAGACTCAGCATCAGCATCACAAAGGGTAGACGGGCAGGTTTGGAGCTGAAAGACAGTAAATTAATAATTGATGTCTACATCAAAATCCAAGATTCTCTTTCAGCTAATGTTTTAGAATTAAATTATGACTGGAAATTCTTCCTATTACTAAGATTATCTGCCAATGATCATATAAAAGACTATGCCAGTTTGGAGTTATGCTAAGGCCTCCCTCTTTGCCCAAAATCTACCAAATGTTGATAAAATAAAGAAAAATTTGTAGTTTAAATTAATAAAATAAAAGGACAATTACATATATGTATGCATGTATGTTTGTAACTCTGTGTGTATGGATATACATATATATCAGGAAGGTTCTAGCTCTTTATTTATGAAAAGAGCTATACCTTGTTCTAAAATATATTTTTATTTCTTTTTGATGTTAAAATATAATATCTCTTTTTAAACACTGTGATAGCATATGGTACTGATAGTTTCTGTTATTTAAGTTCTTATCTGGAAAATAAAATGTTTGCAACAACATGTCAATTCCTATTTTCCCCCCCTAAACTTCACTGGTTGATGAAATGAAAAAGCTCTAGAATGGTTGTTTATGAGAATACTTAGTTTTGATGGATTGATTGATTGATTGGATGACTTATTGATTGACAAGTGATGAAGGATGATGGAGTGAATCAGGCTGGGCTATTTTGAGAAACATCCTTTGAAGATATTTTAAAAGTTAGACAGTGTGTCGCTCAAGAAAAAAATCCTCTAGGTTGGCGCACTGAATTTTAGTGCTCTGGACTGTCAGAATGGCTTTATTTGTAGATGACCCTAAGTGTGTGTATATAGTAGATAATAAATAATATATGACATATAAACTACTTTGATTTCAGTATGTAAATACCTGCTAGCCTTGCATAAGAGCACATCTTCCTGTCAGCTCTACCACCTGCCTATACTTTATATTTTTGAAATTCTTTTCCTAAATAGTTCGTTATTTCAGTGTCTTGCACACTACTTGGACTTTAGCCCTTTTGTGAATAATGTTTTCTTGATGCAGAAAAACTGTACAGCACAATTAGCAGTCTAACTGTCACTACAGCAGGGAAAAAGCCAGAGATGGACTAAAACAAATTTTCCGGCCATCTACAATATTATGTGCCTAGTGATGGCTTACAGGTACCTATTTATATCTCCCTCTAAATATTTCATATCCTCTCTATTACTGATAAGAGTTAATCTACAAGTCTCCTGAGGGCTTTTTATAAGTGTACTTAGGATATCATTTCTGGTGTTTGGAATCACCACACATTATTTTTATTATATAAGTTAGTTGGATTCTCAAGAAATGTTACCTGGTGAAAAAAACAATCAAGAAGATTCATAATGAGTCATTGAGTACAATTCTGCACAAGGTACTTTATCATGGCAGCCACTGTGCCCTCATGTTGTGCATGGTCCTAGTACATTGACTCTGAGTTTTTGAAATAGAATGCTTCCAACTTGCTGGCCCTGAGGAGACTGAAGACATTAATGGCTTAATATTTGCAAATCACTATATATTCTCACAGCAAAGAATAGTGTGTCTCATTTGTAAAAACATAACCCCAGGCAATAGAGCTATATGTAAAATAAGCCATGCCAAAATTACATTTCACTCGGTACTATAAGAAACCAATTTGCATTATTAACCAGCATCCAAATTGTTGATTTTCATTAACTCTTTTATTGCTTGGCCACAGAAAGCATTAAGAAGACATTTTGATCACAATGTCTTCTGTCAAGAAAAGCCAAGGGCTTCTTCCATGGGTAAGTGGTTTTAAAATCCCACAAAACTGACACATTTTTAGATGTCTGCTCTGCAAACATAAGTGCTCAAAATTAAGATTTTGAAGGCCATAATTTTCCCAGCTGGGTGAAGTGGATAGCGCTAAGAGGCCTCATAGATCATACCATGTTGTCATTTATTATAATGTTTTAACATACTACAGAATTTGTGTTGTCAAGAACATTGGGTGAGGTGATTTATTAGCTAGGATTGATTATGTTGCTAATAGCCCAGATGGCTTGAATTTTGGAAGGGGGAAATTTCATGTTGCTGAGCGTGAAGAAATAAATGCTAAGTTGCCAAGAGACAAAGGGTCCTTGGCTTAGAAAAGACTCATTTACCTGCCACGTGCAGACATACAAGAGGCAGTTTTTGTTTTCCTTCAGACACATACTTTAAACTCTATTTTTTTTTTTTTGCCTCGGGGAACAGTGGACATTTTATGTGTGTTGAATGTTTTTCTGCAGTGGAGCAAACTTTTGTCAACTCTCCCTCTGGGACAATGTGGGCAGTGCTTTCAGAATTTCTCTTCGGTTCCTGCTACAAGTACCAAAAACATGACCTTGCCTGCATGGCTTTTGCAACTCAATGTCTAGAGCTTTGACATTTGCATTGACTTTCAGCAATTTTCATGGGCTAACACCTGGAGCCATCATCTGCAGATGCCCAGCTGACGTACTCTTGTACCTTGCACAGCAGCACAGGCATTTGCTAAGAGGCACTGATCTACCAGGTGACATGAACGAGACAGACACCAGATTGTCTCATGCAAAAATGACACTGCCTGTCCAGATCTGATCATCATGATTATTCAAAAATTCAAATGAGAGTGTAGGAATAAAAGGAGCAAAAAATAATTCATGAATAATAAATAACTCTTAATTTTACTTTTTCCTTCTAGGTGATATATATTTAAGCTGACATTTTTCCTCAGAACCCAATAATAAGTCACTCTTTACCTCTTTGGACCTGCATCCTGCCAATCCAAAGGCAGGGTTTTAGAAGCCAGGACTTCGGGCTTTACCATGCTCTAACAATCACCATGATATGTTGGGTCTTTTACTCTTATTCTCTGCTCTCACATTACAATTAGAACATCTAAATACAAAGTAGCAGTGATAATGCTTCGGGAGAGCAGGATAGGAACCCTACTTTGAAGAAGGCTTGATATGTTCTCAAGTTCAAGGTTGGCTTCATGAAATATTTTGTTTATAGCACTGAGTCACCTATAGACTAGAGATTTATCCTTCAAGTTCATTAACAGAAATATAATGAAGGCCTCATTGTCTAAAAACCTTAAGTGCTGATTAATTAAAAATGGATATGTCACTTGGAGTGTCTCCTCACCAGAACAAGAGCACTCATCCCTAAGGAGAGATACAGAACTGGAGAAATTTCTATAATTGAGAGCACCTGCCTTTAAACAAATGGGATTTTACAGATCTGTTCTTGTACACAATCAGTCTTCTATACAATGATATGTAGTCTCTGTAAATTTGCAATGCTCCATTTAAAAGCTTTTTATTCTTCTTCTATGCACAACCAGGTTAATAAACATACACCTCTCTTTGAAGTAGAATGTAGAGTGATTTCATGAAGTCAAGGGGTATTGTGAAGGAATGTAAAGAAAAAGGTGAAAAACTTGACTAACAACTATTTGGGGATGAAAATGTGTTTTAGTAGGGAGTCCATTAACGGATCAAAGAGGCCTGTATGTGCGCACAACACGTTTATGCAGGCTCTTAAACTAGAAAGTTAAATTTGTCTTTCCATGTGCTTTATCAAATGGGGTTGACCAACATCTTATTGACACCAGCACCTCAATGTCACATCAAAGCAGATTTGTTCAATGCATCTCTGTAATTCATTACCTGACTTTCCTCTCTCATATGCAGTTCCATTTGTTCACTAGCTGATGTTTATTCCTTCCTAAGAGGGGCATTCCATGTGAAGAAGGAACAGACTGGCTCATTCAGATGTGGACAATCATTTCCATTGGTGAAACCAGACAGAAAAGGGTTTCCTCCTCAAGGCAAAAGAAGTTTGTCTGCAGATTCACCAGGCAGCTGAATCTGGTTCTAGAGATTTTAAGTGTTTTGAATGAGCCTAAAGTCTGGGTCTACCTGACTTGATGCTCACAATTACAACAGCAAACAATTATTATCGTTGAGTAACATTGCTGGAATGTTAGATGGTGTGATAATAATTAATGAACATTGGAGCCCCTGCCATGTACCATTTGCTGTGTTAGATACTGCAGCAGTAGTGACAAACAGAGTAGACATAGTCCCTGCCCTCATGATTCATTCTAGATGGTAAGACAGGCATCTATTTGTTCTCAGATCTCCCCATTTAGACATACTAGCAATAACTCAAGGTTTTTCTGACTTCAGCCAGACGTGTGCACTGCCCCACATTCAAGGTGGGGATGGGGGCAGCGTGAAGGATGCAGAGGAAAAGATCAATAGGCCTAAAGCGATTTCTGATATTCCCTACTAATTTTATAACCTTTTCTATTTAACGACACCATTCTCCTGCTAATCCTAACTGAACTAAAATCAACAGTGTTGCATTCCTTCTACTGCCCATGTGTCAGTGTCAGCAAAGGCCTCTTACATCAAGACCTCGTAGCCTCCATCAGAGCAACCTGTGTGACCCATCCTCTGATTAAAGGACACCATAGGGAGAGCACAAATGGTGTTTTTCACCACCAAACCCAGAGTGCTGAGATATACTTGTTTACCCTAGCAGTGTTTATCTTTGAACGGTGTTAGGTTGATTTGGGATACAGGTTTCCTTTCTTCCCTCCTTTGATCAGCTAGGGAAAAAAAATGGATTTTGGTCAAGATAATAAGCTAGGTAAATTCTATAAAACAGAGTAAAACATTCAGTGTGTAAACATGATTATAGACCCAATATTTTGGATCCAAAAAGAAAAAGAAAAAAAAAAGAATGGTTTAATTTGTTTCTGTTTCTGTGACTTTATACATGGGGTCTTTTGGGATCTCCATTTATAAGAGTAATGAATCAAAAATTTCTCAGTGCTCTACTGCAGTGAAGCCTTCGTATGGTGGGTGTTATCTAGAGACCCAGATATTTTCGGTGAGCATTTCAATATGTGAAATAGAAGGTGATCAGTGAGCAATGAGGACTGTTATAATGAAAACATCATTTAAAATGAAGGCTTTAACATCTGTTTCACTTTCTAATTACAAATCCAACACTCTCTCCTGACACCCAATCTCGTCATTACCACTATAAATCACAATCATAAAAAAGTTAAAAAACCAAGTGATTTACATGGTTTTATGTGCTTTGTGTTCAGAATCACATGCATGCTTTAATTATGTTCCTATTATGTACCAGATGAAGTCAGGTAGAGTGGAAGAAAAAAATATATAGCTCTTAAACTAACCATGCTTTGGTTTCTCCCATAGATTTTCACCAAAGTCTCATGTAAACAGAAGTGGTCTTGGGAGGAGGGAAACAAACAAACAAACAAATAAAACCCAGAAAAGAAGAAATCAACTTCAGAAATGTCTTTCAGATATTTACCAATAAATATTTACGGAAAACCTATTATGCGGCAAGCCTGATACTGGCTTCAGATGACAAAGTATTAAACTAAACAGATACTCATAGAGCTAACAGCCTAAAACTTGAAAAAGATATTTTTTAAATGATTGCACACATAAATATATAATTACCACCATGATGCTTCCATGAAGAAACACTGCAACATTCTGTGATGATGAAATTTTCAGCAAAAATTGCAAGAATATGAGAAAACCCTTAGGAGACAGTAAAAAGACCACTTGAAGCATTCTTTGACAGACTTTTACAAACACAAGCAAGGTCATATTTCCAGGGTTTTTCACTTTCTAAAAAATTGGTAATTAAAAACAGAAAACATCTAGGGTAATTTAAAAAGAATGTTAAAGATGTAATTTATGATTTAAATTTCTAAAATTTCTAAGAAATGAGAAAAATCTGTAATTCATATGTCAGCTTTTATACCAAGAAATGATATGTCTAATGTTGACTACTACAGAAGAGTCTGATGTGCAGAAACAGAGCCATGGATTGTCTCGAACTTGATGATACAATGAGGATTCAGACAAGAACTGGAGCAAATACATCTCAAATCCAGTACAGGGTTACACTAATTTCTTGGAGAGAAGGAAATTATCATCAAAATAACATGATAGGGATATGTTTATATTTTATGTCATAGTTTGACATTTTGTGTACATTTATAAATACATGTATGCTACATATATTACATATTGTATTAAACATACTGCTTAGCCTAAGTCTATAATATGCTGTATTGTTATAAGATAGGCTATGTTACTGTAACAAACAATTCCAGAGTCTAACTCGTTGAAGACACACTTATGCAACGTGTTTACTTTGGTTCAGGGAGCCTTAGTTCCACGTTGTCCTCACTTAAGAACTCACAATGATGGAGGCTCCACAGGCTGAAATTTTTCGGATGGCCATGGTAGTGGGAAGGCTGATGACGAATCCCTCACTGTTTCTCAAATATTTCCATTTAGATGTTCACAGCATTTCATTTGCTAGAGCAATTTATGTTCACTCAAATTTCATTGATTAAAACAAGTGATATGACCATTACTGGACTAATCCTTCCCTTTGCCCAAAAATAGAGGCACCAGCTCTTTTTTTTTTCTACTTCATAAAACACATATGGAATATTTAATATACATAACATCATATACAACATGAGCATATTCTATTTTATCATCTGTTTCATGTTATTAGATATTAATACCTGCACTAGGTTCACCTGAGATCTATGATTAAGCTATTGATGCTTAAATCAGTCAAATACCATAAAGAGCCTTTGCCTTCCACCTGTTTCATAAGTGGTATCTAAACAGGTGAACATTGCTCACTTCTATGTGAAAACATAAGGCCTTATGCCTACTAAGTAGAAATGGAAATATTGAAGACATTTTTGAAAGAGTGGAATGGTTCCCAAAAACTCCATTCATGCCAGTCACTGGGACGTGACATATTGTGAGTTTGCAAGATGGAGTTACTGATTGAGAGTCTGCCATTACAGAAATCTAAAAGAGCAGCATTGGATGTGAGGTTAAGCCAAACCAATGAAGTCTGATTAACATTAACTCAATCTGTGTTCATTAAAAATGGTGGTTTCCCTAAAAATAGTATGTTATGAAGGTATTAATCAATGGTCAGTCAGAAACAAATATTTTCTCAATGTGTTTTACAAAGAATAAAGCATTTTAGCTTTCGTTTGCAAGGAGTTAAAAATTCTTTTCATAGAGGACTTCTTTCATGTATACAAAATATTTTTGCTTATAAATCTATATTTTAAAGATTACATATTGTGCCCAATAGCTCTTGCCCCCTTCTTCTTCAAAGCACACATAAACAATACCGGTCCTAGGAAATGACAAAAGGCATCATTTTAATACTATAGCATAAATATTGAAACAATAGCTAGCTAAATGAGCACTTCAAAGAGAGTCTGAAAATTCATATTTTTATATAGTGATGTATTTTTCTGTCATTGCAAGATATGACCCATGAATACATTTTTATTATTCTCTATTCCTTGTCCTCCCTCTGTTTCCAGAGCTATTTGTAAAGCAACTAGTATCTTATAGCACGGAAGAAGCCACAGTGTAGGAGCGTTCATTGTTACCTAATTAGAGTTAGGCATCTTTTCATTGTATTTCCTGAACCAGCTAAAAAAGTTACCTGCCTGTCTGATCTTATGACTCATAAAATCCCTTTCATACACATTAAAATTTTTATTGTGGTAAAACACACATAACCTAAAATTTACCATCTTAACCATTTTAAAGGATAAATTCAGAGACATCAAAAAATTTGCAATGTTGTGAAACCATCATTCCTCTTCGTTTCATATTTTTTTATTGTGAAAGGAAGCCCCATATCCATGAAGCAGTCACTCCCATGCCTCCTACCCCCGGTCCCTGGCAACCACTAATCTTTCTGTCTCCATCAATTTGCCTATTCTGGATATTTCACATAAATGGAATGATATAATATGTGGCCTCTTGTGTCTGGCTTCTTTCAGTTACCATACTGTTTTCAAGGTTTTTCAATGTGGATATATCAGAAACTCATTCTTTTTATGGCTGAATAATATATCAAATTTTGTTTATCCATTCATTGCTAATGGACTTTTGGGTTATTTCCACTTTTGGTAATTATAAATAGTGCTGCTATGAACATTTATGTAAAACTTGTTTGAACACCTGTATTTAATGATTTGGGGTATAACCTAGGAGCGAGACCATTTAATCATAAGGTAATTCTGTTTAACTTTTTGAGGAACTACCAAACTGTTTTTCACAGCACATGCACAATTTTATATTCCACCAACAATATATGAGGATTTCAGTTTCTCCACATCCTAACCAACACTCATTTTTTTTTCTTTTTTTTCTAGTCTAGTCATCCCAGCAAGAGTGAAGTGGCCTCTCCTGTGGTTTTGATTTGCATTTCTCTAATGACTATGTTGAACATCTTTTCATGTCCTTGTTAGCCATTTGTATATCCTCTTTGGAGAAATGTCTGTTAAAGTATTCTGCTCATTTTTTCCCTTCAGTTGTTTGTCTTTTTGTTATTGAGTTGTCAGAGTTCTTTATATAATCTGGATAGTAGACATTTTTTGGATATATGATTTGAAAATATTTTCTGTCATTCTATAGGTAGTCTTTTCACTCCCTTGATGCATGAAAGTTTTAATTTGATAAAGTACAATTGATGTACAAAAGTTTTAATTTGATAAAGTACAATTAATTTTTTATTTCGTTGCTTCTACTTTTTGTGTCATATCTAAGAAACAATTGCTGAATACAAGGTTATGAATATTTCCCCCTAAGTTTTTTTCTAAGACTTTTATAGTTTTAGCTTTTATATTTATGTCTCATATCCATTTTGAGGTAAGGGCTCAACTTTATTTTTTTGCATATGGATACCCCGTTGTCTCAGCATCATTTGTGGAAGACACTATTCTTTCGCCATTGAATGCTTTTGGAACACTGGTCAAAAGTTAAACATGAATTGGCCAAAGATAAATGGGCTGATTTCTAGATTCTCAATTCTATTCCATTGATCTGTATGTCTAGCCTTATATCATTATCACACTTTTCATTGCTAAAGGCTTTGTTGTAAGTTTTGAAAAAGCAAAGTGGGAGTTCACCAACTCTGTTCAAGATGATTTTGGTTTTGGAGGGTTTCTTAAAATTCCATAAAAATTTTAAGACCAGCTTTTCTATACCTGCAGAAAAGCCCATTGAAATTGTGATTGTTATTGCATTAAATCTATAGATTGATTCAAGTATTGTCCTCTTAAAAATACTAAGTCTTTCAATCTATCAACATAAAATGCTTTTTCCATCACTTTCATTTTTGTTACATCAAAGAAGTTTATTTTCAAAATATTTCAAGAACTGATAGTATTATTTCTTACACAGGACAGTGTTAGATATTTTGGTTTTTTATATTTTATTAGCATGTAAGTATATAATAAATACATAAAACATAATAAAATTTCTACCGAGACCATATAAATGAATTTAGATGGTTATTCCTTTTAGATAATCAAAATTTTAAAAACAATCCTTATGTTTTAATAAGAGATATAAATGAAAATGCATCTTAAGAAACTTCTGAAGCCACAAGTTTATGAATATATTTATCACATTTTATTTCTGTGATCAGGGGTGTTGTTTATTCACTTCCAAAGTGCCAACACATTTCCCTTGGCAAACTTAAAAAAAAAAAGATAGACATAAAGAAATAAAAAATAGAGTCAAAATATCAGTTTAATTAACACTATAACCTGGAACTGGGGAAATGCCTCCAATGATTATGCCTCCTAATAAGTTTCCTAAATAAAATGTATCTCCCAGAAGTTCAGAGAAACAATCCAGATTAGATGTTGCCTTTTTGCAGGCAGGCAGATGCAAGTAAAAGGGAGGAAGAGAAGAAGGGAGACAGGAAGAGAGGGAAGGAGAGGGAGAAAAAGACAAGGAGAGAGAGATCTCTAGAGATCATCATGCTCAGTTCTTTTCCATAATTCAGTGATCAAATTAGTTCTTCTACCAGACATGAAGATTTGTTGTTGAGGGGCACAAAGAAACTTTATATCATATTTTCCTCCCCTGAGAGTTCAGTATACCTTCTCTTTCTTCTGTGGAAATATGAGGAATGGAAAATAAGTGCTTCCTTTATATTCCCCACAGTGTTCACACATCATGTAAACCAGTCATTTTTTTGATCTTGCATTGACATTTTGTTTTAATCAATGAATAAGTGCTGCACAAATATGCACTCAATCGGTTTGTAATTGGTTTTTCTTATTTTATATAAGATTATATTTGATGCATTTAAGGCTAAGATCAAGCCATCACCAATTCAAATCTATGTTCTGTAACTTCTAATTTGGGCCTAGGAAATGTTCATATTCTCACAATTCTTCACTGTTCCTCACCTCATTGTTCCCATATAAGAAATACCTCAAACTTTAGAACATGGTTTATTGGTTTTGAAATATGGGTACAATGCCCAAATGGTCATGTCTAGTAGGTAATCAGATACATCTTTCTGGAGCTCAGAAGAGAGAACAGAAATACAGATCAAATTTTAAGAGGCATTGGCTACCATGTTGTTACTGACGTCAAGACTGGAAAAGATGATTAAGTACACTGCAAGAAGGAAAGGAGAAGGAAGGAAACCAAAGAAAGAACTTTGAGATAACTCCAAAATCTAGAGGAAAGTGGAGGAAAAGGACCTGAAATTAGAGATAAGGAACAGCCAGAAATGTTGGAAACAAATAAGAAAATAGAACCATGGAAACCATGTTTCTAAAAGAAAGGAGTGTCAAATACCAGAGAGGAATCATGTCAGATTAAGGCTTAAAAGCGGATGTTAGATTGGACATCTACTGATACTCATAAAGGAATAGTTTCAGTGATTAATGAGAAAATAATCCAGATTATGTTAAACTGATATCAGGTGAATGAAAGAGAAGATAGTGGGAACAATAAAAAAGTTGGAAGCTTGGCTAAAAGAGAAAAACAAAGAGTGGAAGAAGGAGGTCTTTAAAAAACATATGAGTGATGCTTCACCATACTTATACGCCAGGAGAAAAGAGAAATGGAGATTGAGGAGTTGAAGATGTAGGAAAGAATGGGGTTATTTGCTGGAACAAGTTCTCTGAGGAAAAAGGCAGTTATGGATTCGATGCCCAGGCGGAGGGATCAATTTTAGAGAAGACACAGGTCACTCTTTGGAGATTAAAAAAGATAAGACCTTTGCAGATATAAATTTGGAGGCTCAAAGTTGAAGGGCTTCGGATAGGCTTGAGAGCCTGTTTTATTTTACTTTTTTGGTCAAATGAGATACAAACAGTTATCTAGTGAGAGAGGGTAGCCAGGGCAAGGCTATCAGAGTTGTGCAAGTTTTCAGTAGCGATTGAGGACAATTAAAAAAGGAAGCCTATTAAGTACATTGTTCTGAGCAATGTTAAGATGCTAATGATCTTGGAAATAATTTGGTTGATCAATTTATGCACTTGGAATCCTAATCAAGGGCAACTTTTGAGGTCCTAGCAGACTGGTTGCCAAGTGAGCAGGATAATCAAACATTAGGACACTAGATTCCATTTTTCAGTATATTTTCTTTCAAGTGAGACAGGAGGCAGATCCAGGGGAAATTATAAAAATCACATGCAAGCCAATGGAAATGAGATGTGTGAAGATTCCAGGCTCTTCGGAACTCGACTAAAGCTCCCTGATGTGGAGAGATGGGCCCAGCAAGAATTCAGAAGAATTTATTTGTTCTTGGGTCATTCCTACAGACTCTTCTTTCGGTTTTATCCATATATTTTCAGATATCCTCACATAACATTTCTTGGCTCTGGCTGCTTGACCTCACACCCTGGATTCAATTTGACCAGAGGCTTTCCATTATTTGCTCTGATTCTTCAACTTGGATTTATGGTAGGATTTGCTCTGATTCCACACAGGACAACTGCAGATTCAAGGAATGAGGTCAGGATGGAAAAGCATCGTGACTTATAGTTTGGAATAAACACCTGCACATTGCACCGTGAGGCCTAGCTGATGCCAAACCCAGGTTCTTGGGGCGTCTCCTGAAAGGCCTGCCGGATTCTTCCCAGGAGAGAGCTAAGAAAACTATGAGTATTAGTAAATGGCTGCGACTACTGGCTACTTATCGATAGCCATTTTAGTGTGCATGCAGTCCAAAACATTATTCATGCTGTCATCCACATTGTGTACACATATACTTCAAGGGGTTAGGACTTACCTAACATAAATTATGGTGAAACAGTGAACTTGTAGACAACATTTCTGATGTTGCATCTCTTATTTATTTCTCTTTTTATCACAGAATTACCTACCATGAATCAAATTCTCAAATAGTCATCTATACAAATCCATGTAAACCTTCAAGCAAAGTTATAGGCAGCTTGAATTTAGCCTCTTAGGTCTTGTATAAGAAGGTGACATTGACTTTCTCCCTCTCTCTTTTTTCTTTTTTTGGAACAGGGTCTTTCTTTGTCACCCAGGCTGTAGGGCAGTGGCACAATTATGGATTACTGCAGCCTTGACCCCCTGGGCCCAATTGATCCTCCCACCTCAGCCTGCCAAGTAGCTGGAACTACAGGCACATGCCACCATGCCCAGATAATTTTTTAATTTTTTAAATTTTCTGTAGAGTCGAGGTCTTGCTCGGTTGCCTAGGCTGGTCTCAAACTCCTGGGCTCAAGCTATCCTCCCACTTTGGCCTCCCAAAGTGTTGGGATCACAGGCATGAGCCACCACACCTAGCTGAGATTGACTTTCAGGAACTTAATGTACATAATATCTTTCTAAGCCAACTTCTTCCCATTCTTACACACTTTCATAAAGCACCCCAGGGCCCTTTTATTACAGACCCTGTCCATCAAGACCTATGCATTTGATATTATATTCTGCTTTCCACCTTTTGTCCTCAGCAGCAGAATCAGTGTAACAAGTCAAGGCAAGGTGAGGGGTGGTAGTGAAGATCCCTGAGAACCCAGACTGCAACTCCCAAAACAACATGGAACCACTACATTAGACTCTTCATTCTTCAGTAAGATCACACTTGCCTCCCTGTGTCAAGAAAGAGCAAAGTCAGTTCTTGGTTTAAATTTCTTTTGGTCTCTATAGTACAGTTAATCTGCATTGTATATTATTATTGAGGAACAAACTCAAATAAACACTAACTGACCTACACTGAAACAGTGCAACAAGAGAAATTGTACATTACGGTGGTCAAGTGCTTGGCTTTTGAAGTCAGGCAGATCTGAGTTTGAAAACTGACTCCACTAAATACTGATGGTAGTTAATATCTATAAACCGTATTTTTCACATCTATAAATTGTTGATAAAATTATATTTCTCAGAAAGCGCATATGAAAATTAAATGTCATGATGCCTAAATAGTCCCCAGTATGGTAAGTGGCCCATCATAATAATTTAATAAGGGTTAATATTATTAGTTACATATTGGTAAAGTGTCTTTTAGGAAACTACCTTTTTGACCTAATTAAATGGTAACTGCAATCATGGAACAAAACCATCAGGATAAGAAAACCATTCCCCATATCTAAAATAAATTCTTGCAACTACAGCATAAGAACACTTTCTCTCCTTCCTTCCTTGCTGGCAAAGGAAACTAGCTGATCACCTTCATCTATCTGTCGAATAACACTGCACACAAGGGAATTGACTATTAACCCTACTTACTCTACTCCATGCTGTTAACTCTACTTACTCTACTCCATGCTTTACAAAATAAATAAATAAATAAATCCCGTCTCATTTAACCTTTCCAGACTGGGTTTGTTTTTTAACTCCTTGATAATCTTAAGGGCTCACTTTTGAACATTCCACATTGTCTGTCTTCACTGTAAGGGTTCAAATAGATTCAGTGCCTTGCACCTGCCTGGCATTGTCATACTGTGAGAATGGCCAGGGTGGAAAATGAAGATAGGGAAGAGCTTGGGTTTTCCAGTCAGATATTTTGCTGCCTTGAAAGATAGTAATATGTTGCTGATGACAGCTCTTAGATGCTACCAATTTGACTCTAAGATCCCTTTCATCGGCATGTAAATATCTAATTTCTATTCTTACTAGCGACTTTTTTTTCTCCTCCTTAAGTTTCTTTATCCTTGAAAAGCAACATGTGGAAAATCAAGGAAAAAAATTATTTGCTGTGATGTTGTGAAAATGTAAAATAAGGCTATTATGGCCCAAAGTACATGGTTAATTCCATCTATCTTCCATTTCAAACTGTCTCTTTTTATAGCCCATCTTCTGAACAGGTACTTATATAATTTGACGTCTGGACAAGATACTAACAAACAATAATCAATATCAATATTTTCATAGTAACGTGGAGAAAATGGTGGCGTGGTCAAAAAGATTGGAAACACTATGTTATGTCCACCTCTTGGGAACCCCTGATGTGCAATGGTTTATGAAAGCCTAAGAAGTCCAGCAGTAAATAAGACTGTTCAATTTGACTAAACATGTCTTCCTCAAACTTGTATCATGATGGAATTATTTTGGGGGATGCGTACTTACATGCGATAGAATTTGCATTCCTGTGGAACACACATTGATATGTTGCTATTACTCAACTTTATTACTGTACACAAGGAAACTGAGAGCCAAACTGAGGCCCTTTATTTTTATTCCTTTCAAATGTTATATTCTTTCTCATGTTTGTGGAGGGGGGAAAACAGCTATCTATAGAGCATTTATGCTACCTTTGCCCCACTGATATTTCTTATTGCATTTTCAGCCAAAATGACTGAGCATGCTTTCATCTGCCTTTAACAAAGAGAAATAGCAAAAGTGTAGGCTTCTGTTTAGAGATCGTTTATACCCTATTCCCTAATTTTCCCCTCCATATACTTCCTCAAGACATGTTAATGCAAATGTGTCTAGGAGAAATGTGTACTCTTTAGTAATAAGCTAGAGACTTAGTCTTTCATCCACCTTTGAACAAGTAGTTACATAGCCACATTTACTAGTTCCAAGTCGTGCTAATATATGAGGAAATGACAAAGCATTAGGTCACCATGAAGTCATAAAATATCTGAGGAGTTGATCAATATTAATTTATGAATGCACGTATAATGTGCATATCTCATTTTTCAGCTGATGACTTCTATTACCCGGAAAGAGCCTCATGGAAGAGAATTATAAAAGTTCTTTCATGTCAGCCTTGAAATCGAAGGCCGTAGAAAGCATTCATTGGAAGAAAGAGGTTACTTTTTATTATTGTGTATGACCCAGAGCAAGTGTCTTCAGTGTCTTCATTTCTTCTCTAAAGAACAACTCATTGGAAAATCACTTGGAGACCCTCACATAACAGATGAGAGCAATGTACTATCAAAAACCTGAATAAGAGAAAGCTCGAGAATTGATTTTCTATGTTGCTGTGACCAATCTGCTTTTCATTAGTTCCACTGACATCAGTACTAAATATATAAAAACAAGAGTTGTGTGTGTATATTGTTTTGTATTATTTTTTGTTTTATCATAAAAGCTCCACCCTCCGTTCCCCACCCCCCACCCCACCACACACAAGCTGTAGCCTTCCAATGAAGGGGGAAGAAAAGAAATAATTCTCATATTCTCCTATTTGCCCCAGACCTGAATTACTCCATTTCCTCAAGTCAGCAAATCCCCTGTACATCTGAAGCACTAAACTCAGTTCCTGAAAATATTGCCTGCTTGTTAAAGCACCCACACTGGATAGGCCCTTAAAGAGCCAGACATGCCTTGAAATTTACTGCCTCAAGCCCATCCGTCTTTCCAAGGCCTGCAATTTTCTTGAGTCTTTTCCCCAGACAAAAAGCTTCGGATGTTTGTCCCTGCAGAGGGCAACCAAGAGCTATGCTGCCAGTCGAACCCATCCTTGTACCCTGAAGAAACAGTGAGCAAGGATTCCTGGCTTTGGCCTTTGCGGGAACTTGACAGCTAATCCAAGTCATGCGAATGGCTTTAAGCTGACCCATCTTTTCTTTTTTAATTTAACAGTATGTGCAACTGTTTGGGAAAGACCAATTAGGCTGACCCATCATTTCTTCAAAGGCCTGATTGTTCTGATGTTTGGTCAAGCACACATACTACACGTAGATATGCCGTAGAAGCCAGATTTAGATACAAATCTACAGGCGTTCTGAGTTTCTCTGCCATCCAGCCAGCTTCCCCTCTTTTTAGGTGGATGTAGTCTCATTTGGCACCTCAAAGCTTGACGCAACACACCAGACTTCCTTCAGACCGTTTTACAACTGGTTTGTTTCGTTAATTAACCTCCTTTTGTGAGGTCTAATAGCCATCAGCCAGAATGATATTGGCTTCGTAGCAAAGAGTTTTATAGCTGTGTCACAGCATATTTTGATTTTCCAGCTAAAATTATCTACTATGCTCTCCGCATTACCATTTAAAGCACAGAAAATTTTCTTTGAAGCTGACAGTGTCCTGTTCCTCTTCATTAGAGTAAGCCAGAACTGTGCCATTAAACATGCTGCAGCAGAGAGGCCTGCAGGAGGCCCCTTCTCAGTTGTCCCTTCTTAGGCTTCAATTAAAAGATAATACTGACTACTTTCATAGCCCAGAAAAGTAAATTAACTCATCATCCAAGGAAACACAAGGTCTAAAATATAATTTCTTAGAAATTTGTGGCGCTTCCTCAGGTGAAATCTGTTTTCAGCTGCTTCTAGCTCCTATTTGGTAGGCACTTTCTGGAGACCTACGCTCCTGGTCATTTCAAATTCCTCTTAGCACCTTTATGTTCCTAATGGCATCTCTGAATTTTAGATCTAAGGGAATCACAGAGAGCAGATGCAAACTGTGAGATTAGACCATTTTATAATAATGCCTTAGACCAATGTTCTCAACCACTGATACTGCCATCAGCAGCATTAACATGAAAATGCCCGGGTACCACGGACCCAGTGAAGAAGAAATTCTGAGAGTGAGGTCCAGCAAGCTGCGTTTTAACAAGTCCTCCAGGTGAGTCTGATGCAAGCTAAAACTGAGAACCACTGCCTTGGGTATTTTTGAGGCTTTGGAGATTTCCAACTTATTGTGACATCCAGTAGTTTTGCTTCTTTACATTATAACTTCATTAAGTAGGCAGAATAGATAATACCTTTTCCAAATCTCTGTAGAGGAAACTATAGTTTAGAAACGGTGTTTGTTCAAGAGCAGCCTGTTGCTAAATGTTAAAGCAAGTCTAGATCACGAGGTTTCCAGTCCAACACTCATTTCCGCTGCAGTCTGCAGCCTGTGGAACAGAGTTGCTACCGCATGGACATAGAAGCCAGAAAGTCTCACCTGGCTCTAGTGACAGCATCGGCTGGGCCAACCAGGTAGAGCCCCTAATGGCTGATCCCCAGGAAAGTAAGCAAAAAAAGAAAGAGAGGAAAAGAGGAAGGGAGGAAGAGAAGACGGAAGGAAAAGGAAGAAAGGAAGGGAAGGAGGAAAAAAGAAAAGTTAGAAAATTGGATTAAGGATACGGAACAAAGATAAGGAATGAAGAGAGTCTATAGCACCAACAAATACAGTATGGGTATGAGAGAAAAGCAAACATTTCATGAAAGGGTAGAAAAAAAGGAAAGGAGAGCCTGCTTAAAAGGTAGAAGAAGAACCACCTTAAATATTTTTCTTAGGATTTCTGATGGGAGAAAACCACTCAAATTTAGCACAATGTCTTATAACAAACAAATATGGAAGCCACAAAAAATTGTTTTGGTTCAAAACACATTCAAGGCATGTTTTACTTCCTCATTTCTCTTTACATCTTTATTGCCAAAGTCAGTGTGTCTAAAAGTGACAAGACAGGTGCATTGGCTCACACCTGTAATCCCAGCACTTTAGGAGGCTGAGTTGGGAGGATTGCTTGAGCCCAGGAGTTCAAGACCAGCCTGGGCAACATGGTGAAATCCCATCTCTACAGAAAAATACAAAAATTAGCCAAATGTGGTGGGGCACACCTGTAGTCCCAGGTACTCGGGAGGCCGAAGTGAGAGGATCACCTGAGCCAGGGAGTTCTAGACTGCAGTATGCTATGACCACATTTCTGCACTCCAGCCTGAGTGAAAGAGCTAAACCCTGTCTCAAAAAAAAAAAAAAGTGACAACAAACCAAATCAGAACAAACAGATATTTGTTTACAACGAAGACTTCTGAGCAACATGTTAAATTTACCAAATCTGGATGTGGCACGTGGAATCACTATCTTTATCCTGTATCTCAGATGAGCTTCCGTACTTGTCACTAGCTAGACCAGTAAGAGTTCACAGTCTGCAACTGTTGTATTTTGTTTTTAACTAAATAGAATTTTGTAACTAAAAAGGAAAATTAAAAACCTGCCTCTTCAACATCCAAGAAAAGGCCAAAAAAAAAAAAATCTCTGTTTTGAACCCAGTGTAGTGGGAAAAGGTGTGACCCAGGACATAACAGAAAAGCTCATTTTATATGGTATGTGGTCCCTATCTGAATTGAGTAGCAAAGAAATAGTGTATTTCCCATAATTGATATATGTGGTATGTAATGCCTCTTTAGACACATATAGTGATAAAAATGAATATTTGTGCTCTAAGTATAAATATTGTACAAATATATTGTGCTATAGTAAAAATGTTGCTAAGGGACATGATTCTATGGGAAAAAAAATGAAGAAAAATTTATGGACCCAAAGATGTAGTCTCTGGAAAGTCATCCTTTCTGCCCAATCTCCTACTTATACTAGCTGGACAGAAACTGCCCACGCAGTGAACAAAACTGAGTAGATTCTTATCTTGTTAAGAGATCTTGACCCTGTTTCAACAACCATTCTCCATCACTTAAAAACTAGGAAGTTTAAGAGTTGTGAAAAATGCATATGCAAAAAAAATAAATAACTGGCACACCCTTCTCAAGTCAATTCCATCTGCTCCAAATAACACTCCCTTTTAAACTTTGTTCATTAAGCCATTGGTTCCCAACATATATCCCCAGAGATCATAACTTAATTGGCTTGGGATGTGGTCTGGGTTTTGGAATTTTCAAGAGATCCCAGAGGATTCTAATGTGCAGATAAGTCTGGGAAACATTGCCTTAAACTAATCACTTAAAGCAGAATAAAAGCCAGTGTTGATTATAGTACTGTATTAGTCTGCTCTCAAGCTGCTATGAAGAAATACCTGAGGTTGGGTAATTTATAAATGAAGGAGGTTTAATTGACTCACAGTTCCGCATGGCTGGGGAGGCCTCAGGAAACTTACAATCATGGTGAAAGGCACCTCTTCACAGGGTGGCAGGAAAGAGAATAAGTGCCAGCAGAGGAAATGCCAGGCGCTTATAAAACCATCGGATCTCATTAGAACTCACTATCATGAGAACAGCATGAGGGAAACCACCCCCATGATTCAATTACCTCCCACCGGGTCCCTCCCATGACACATGGGGATTATGGGGATTACAATTGAAGATGAGATTTGGGTGGGGACACAGCCAAATCATATCAAGTACTTAAATTCAATCAATTTCCCTGGTTAAAGCCCTCAGTGACTCCCCTTTGCCTATACCATCCATTAGGTCCTATATTCTAGCTCTCAAGTCTTTAGCAGGAAAAGGTAGGCATCCTATTATCTGACCATTGCCTGTCTTTTCAGTTTAATTTCTATCTTCCTGCCCAACAAATTTACAAATGTGAAACTTTCTATAAGGATTAAAGAAAACAGCTTGTGCTATACCTTTTTAAAAAAAAATTTTTTTTCCTTAGCCTTCCCACAATGAGTCCCTGTTTCCTGGAATATTCTCCCTTACTCCTTTGTTCTTTCATTGGCATGACTCTTGCATAGCCATAAAATTTTCACATTGCTCTTCTTGCTACTCTTTATCTTGTAAGTAAAACTTTTTAGTGTTCCCATAATATCCTGTGCACAGCTCTAATATTGCATGTATCTGTCTCTCCCAGCAGAATGTGAACTCTTAAACGCAACAAACTATACCTTACTCATCTCTGTACTTCCACACTAAGCACAGACATTGGCAGTAGCAAGTTCCCAAACAATGTCTACTGAATCAATGGATAAATAAGGACAAGAAAGTATTTCCAAATGGGCTTCTAGAGCCATTCTAGTATTCAAAATCAGAACTTCTTTGTGGGTTTTGGGAGAAGGGAAATATTTATTTATTATTTATTAGGTAGTTGGCTCTCATTTTCAATGATGGATTCTCAAATATTCCAAAGACTTCACACTTTGTTTTCAACCTTAGTTCCTGTTGAAGCTAAAAAGATGGAAGACATGATGATTCTCCTTCCAGTTGTATTTCATTTCGATTAATCCTTTATGGTTTTCCTCCCTTCTGGTTTCTGCAGCCTGTGGTCACATTTGTGAGTATACTGCCATGAGAGATGCATCTTCAGTGGAAAGTATTATATCTCACTCATTGATATAATGAATTTCAAAGCTGAACAAGAGATACTGGTTAAAATCATATGTCCTTTCCCTTGGCCTTGTATGCACACCTTCACAGCTGAAGATTTCAAATCTACAGGGATACAAGAACTGTCCTCTAAATGAAGGTTATGCCTTTCTATCATGCCCTTTTCTTGTTTGGTTGCTTTTCCTGGGAAGCCACGTCTTTGTCACACCCACTCATATCCTGTCCAGCCCTTACATAAATCTCAGAATAGCCACCCACAGATATCTAAAATAACAGCTGAGAAATATCATTCTCCATGCACTGAGCAGCAACTCCAAGCAAACACCTGATCACTGTCTCGCCCATATTCTCCCTGACCTCTCCTTTTGGTTTTGTTCTGCTTCCCCCGGCACCCATCCACCCCTGCTGCCCCTGGCTCCTACTCTTAATGAAAATCCAGTTCAATCTTTGCAAATAAGATTGGATTGTAGGCAACTGAGCTGAATTATTCCAACCTCCACTAGACAAACATTGTTACTCCAAAAAAGTATGTGAGTGTTTTGAATTCTACAACAGAAATTTATTGCTGACTCTTTAACTTAATAAAGTTACTTTAAGGTCAAAATAAACAGACTAGGGGAAAAGCATCAGAAATTGCAACCTCCATGGAGAGCTGGCAGCCAGCCCTCTTGCCTATCCAAATATACAATTGCCATTGCCAAATACAAGATAGCACATTTATATTAAATCCATAGGCTTTTTCTCAACTGACTCAATTGCAATAATCAACTCAAATGTGTGGCAAAATGTGGGTTTAAAATTGGATGAACACCTCCAACCACTGAATATTATGCCACATAGAAAAACGGATACAAAATATACCAAAATTGAAATACATAATATGGGCAAGCTGGAGTTATGCCATGTCATTTGACGTTATCCAAGGGGGCTCAGAAGTTAATGCATTTGCTCCTGGTGACACTTAGGGATAATGTATTCATCCTTAATGAAGACATTAAAGAATGATCTGGACCTGGTACTTCAGAAGTTGAAGTGGTTTATTCTGGAACTTCAGAAGTTGAAGTGGTTTATTATGATGGTTTAAGAAAGATGTTTTTAGTTTTGCAGTAAAAAGAACCGATACCAAAAATGAACAGGCTTTTGTTTAGATGCAAGATAAGCAAGCATACTGAGACAACTCTGATATTTAAAAGTATCTGGACAAGGAAAAATATGACAAATCAAACAAGGATGTTTGGGTATCTGTTACGTACCCAGCTTTGTGTGAAATGTTGAAAGCATAAACCTCCATATATTCACTTGACCTAGCCAGTTTACCTTCATCATTCTTCAGAACCATACAGGAAAGTCTTTGGTTAATATTCAGTGTGTGTTTTAATATTTTAAAAAAATATTTAAATGTCTTTTTTTAGTAAAGTTTTTTCTTCTTTTTTGTTTTGGGGTTTTGTTTTGTTTTGTTTTGGGTTGTAGGGGCAAGAGAGGAAGAGAAAATAGAGATGTAGGAAATTTCTTACCCAATAATAACATCAGTGACCTCATCAACAAACTTAAACACTCCCTCCTAAGGTACCACATAAACTTCTTTGTGAGATTAGGAAGATGATTGATATTCCTCTCAAGTTATTTTATATCCACTATCTTTTTCTTAAATAGGCTAATTATGTCCATAAGACTAAGTATAAATATGAGAATTTTTTTTTGTAAAAGGAAAACCCGAAATAAGGGAGAATTTCTGAAATTAAAAAGAATAATGAAGATACTTGATTTCTTCAGAGTTAGGACTAGACTATTTATTAATTTAAAGCTGCAAGCCGAGATGCCTTTGAAAATAAGTAATAAAGCAAACAGGTCATTGATTACCCTCTCATAATACAATTTGAGAAGGCAAGAACCTGGTTTCTCATTTAGCCAGGAGGAAGGAAGAGATTTTTTTCCCTAAAATGGAAATAACTCTACAGTTTTTTTTTTCAATTACAAAGGAAATAGAGATTTATTGTGAAAATTCAAAAACCAAAAACCATAGAGAAAACCATCCCACCTGATGATGTTAGATTGCTAATAGGTTAAGGAAATATTATCAAGAAGCCATAGCAATAACCATCATTCTCCATAAATAAGGAAACACATTAATCTCCAACTTACATGAGGATAATGGAGAATCAAGGCATATCAGGGTATAGAAGGAGGAGAGAGATTAGATAACTGAATGAACTCTATTCATAAACTTACGAATTTTATAGCCATTAAAAACACCACATATGTCCATTAAAAGAATTAATTGAGATGGCATATCTAAAGTTCTCACAACATGATAGGCACTAAATAAACTTTAGTTTTGTTTTCTCACCTTTGTTTTCACTGCCAAGAAACTGATATGATCCCCAGGCCTCTTGGAGTAAATTTTTAAGCTGAACTTCTATGTCGGTTCGTTCTTGCACTGCTATAAAGAAATACCTTAGACTGGGTAACTCATAAAGAACAGAGGTTTAATTGGCTCACAGGTGTACAGGCTGTACAGGAAGCATGGTGGCATCTGCTTCTGGGGAGGCTTCAGGTGGCTTTTACTCATGGTGGAAGTCAAAGCAGGAGCAAGCGGTTCACACAGCAAGAGCAGGGACAAGAGAGAGTGAGTGGGGAGTTGCTATGCACTTTTAAACAACCAGATCTCACTCACTCTCCTGAGATCAGCACCAAGGGGATGGTGCCAAACCATTCATGAGAAATCCACCCTCATGATCCAACCTGGCCCCAGCTCCAACACTGGGGATTAAAATTTCACGTGAGATTTGGGCAGGGACACAGATTCAAATCACATAAACTCCCAAATTTTATATTTTAAAAACAGTTGGGGCAATAAACATATAAAAAGATGCTCAACATGATTATTCATCAGAAAAATATAAATTAAGATATACTAACAAGTAGCAGCATGGCTACAATTAAGAATATAGAGTGTTGGGTAGAATGTGGAGCAACAAAAACTCTTGAATTGCTGATGAGAGTGTCAATTGGTATGATGACTTTAGAAAACTCTTTGGCAGCACCTAATAAATCAATATACTCTATAACCTGTAATTTCACTGTTGGGTATGTACCTGTCCAAAATGAGTGCTTTGTCCTCCAAAGGGTATATACAATAGTGTTCATAGCAGCTTTATTTATCATAGCCCCATACTGGAATATATAAATATAAATATATATAAATTTATATACATATAAAAGAATGAACTACTGGAATATATATATATTCCAATATGGGGATATGGTAAATAAATTAGAGATATATAATTTAATTTATATATCTATAAAAGAATCAACTACTCATATACTTCCCAGTTGTATCAACTGGGATGAATTTGACAGATATATGATGAGTAAAAGACATTAGGTACAAATACGTGAACTCCATATCTTTTATTTTGTGTGACATTCAAAACCAGGTGATACAGAATAATGGCTCCCTTTGGGGTGCACATTTGCCATGCAAGGTGAGCTGGAAGCCTCCTAAGGGGCAAGAAATGTTCTGTATCTTGATCTGTGCATGGTTAAAAATGTTTCTACAACACGTAAACATTCAAGATCTTCATTTAAGATCTGTGCACCTTCAAATATATCACTGAATTAACGAAATAATTTCAATTTTTAGATTTTTTTCAACATGCATGTACATTTGGATCAGCATTCTTAATGTTTATATCTCATCTGATCATTTCTTAAATTATTTATGTTCAGCAGCTCTACCTTTCTGAAAAGCTTCAATACATAAAGATTATTTTCAAGGGAAATCTAGTACCCTTTTCACAGAGCATACTTATAACAGGTGATTTTCCCCAAAGGTGAAACAAATTAGGGTAGGTCTATTCATAGCTCTAGGAGCCAAGGTGGCACAATTTAATTTAATTTAACTAGTGGCAGTCAGTGAGTTGCAGGCTTCCTGTGGGCCACCAATAACAGAGTCTGACAGTATCACAGCAACAAGTACTCAATGGAGCCAGAGTTCACACTGAGAGTTTTCTCTTTTCTGTCTCAGGAATATGACAGCATTTTTTCCCTCCTCCAGTTTTCACTTCTAAATGATCTTTAAAGGCAGGAAATTTTTATGCATTTTACATCTTCTTATGCAACCCAGGCCTCCTTTAAAGGATACATTGCTCTCCTTTTTGCTTTCCTTTTCTAATCATTGAACCACGAACTTCACTAGTATGAACCGCAATTCGTGGCCCGTGTTTATTTTCACCATGTTAAGTGCAAACATTTCATATATTTCTCTGAGGGAATTAATTCAATATGAAGATTTAAAAGAAGACAATCTCAATTCTGGCAAAAACAACATTTAAGATGCAAAAGTAAATAAAACAGAAATAATTAAGGAATAAAGCACAATGGAAGACAACCTGTTTTCCTGGTTTGTATAGCTCAGATCCCTTGGACTTGAGCATTAACTCAGTAGGGGCCTTTTCTGCGGGTGGAACATGCTGTTATTCTTTACAAAAAGTACTCAACATCCAGGAGGAAGCAATGATTGCAACCTCACTTTAAAAATAAAATTTAAAAAAAGACTCACGCAGCAGAAACAAAGCCAATCAATACTACATGGAATTAAGGGTTGTTAGTTTTATTTTTGAAGCACAATCCCAGGATCTTGGTAAGCTCTGACCACGACCATCAAGCATAGCAGCTTGCTAAGGGAATAGCACTTCTGCTCTCCAGGCTCTTTCATTCTCTTCTAGATCTCAGGTTCATGCAAGGACAGAATGTCAAGACTCCATTTTCTCTAACACCATGAACCATAAACAGTTTAGCCTAGGATGGTTAGAAGACTTCCGAAGCTTTTCATAAATGAAAGTGAATGGCCATTTAGGTTTCAAAGTAGGCTTATAGCCTTCTTCACTTTATTTTTTATTTTGTTTTGTTTTAACGGGTCTAAGTCTGCCAAATACATTAGTCTACTCAGTCCTTCAGGTTGAACTGTGGCCTGTGACCGCACTTCACTTTAAAACAGACCACTCTCATTTGGGAGACGTCCAGAGCAGAGCGGTCTCTAGCTTGCAGCCTAAACACTCTGACCTCCTTCTCACTCTGTGCCTACTACTGTCCATGTGCAAGTTACACAAGCCAGAGCAATCTCAGCCTCCATCAAGAGCAGAGCTCCAATTGAAGAGTAATGGCTGGAGTAGGTGTTATTTGTACTCCGTGTCAAGCAGTGATTGTTCACATCTGGCTGCAAGCTGAACAGAGCTTTAGATTATTCAGAGCAGTTCAAAACGCTGGTGGTAAGAGAAGGGAGAAGGGTCTTGACTTATCTTGTGGTTTTCAGACAAACAAAGAAGTCACCTTATTAGTAAAGGAACATAATCAAATATGTTCCTTTTAATGATAAGTGATCATGTGTATCATGTGTACATATATCCATACGCACCAAGGCTGCAAATTAAGAAAAAAATCACAATTGAAGTATCAAAGTAGAATAGGCATTCTTGCTAATAAGCTTTTTTGAAAATGGTGTTGATTATGAGTCAACAAAGAGGTTGCAACACACAAATGTACACACACACACACATGCACACATGTAAATTTTGGCTATCGTTTTACACCTAATTTCTTCACATCAGGGCAGCAATCATATTTTAAAATCTTATTTCTACATTCTTTTCCCCCCTTTTCCTCTTCCTTGGCCATTTTATATAATGTAAACAGAGAGTACACATTTAGAGCTCCAATTCTTATGCCCGAGGATTAAAATGAAGCCACAAATAAAAGCTGTGTGAATACTGATAAAGAAATGCTGAGACATCCTGGCCATTGCTTTTTCTTGAAAGAAATCTCCTGGGGTGAAAAGCACACACAACATCAGTTGCGATTCAAATATTTCATCTCATGCACAGCTGCAGAGCTGCATAAAAATGTATTTTGAGTCTATATGGCAGGAAAATAGAAACTGGGACTATAATTAGAGCGAACCTAGAGTAAATTACTACACGTGAGGTTAGACACAAATTTGAAATGTTAAAATAATATAAAAAAATAGAAAATAGAATTTAAAGTTAAGAAAACAAATTATTCTGTAAGGAACTTGAAGTCGTGTTTTAGATTTTCTTTTCCCCTGCAATGTTTTTGCTACCTATTCCAACTTTCATTTGTAAAAGTGAGTTAGTCCTAGAGCAACAGATAGTGAAACATACAAAAAATAAGTATGAATTGCCCTGTCATTCTTTTAATATCTTACAATGAGTTAATGTAAATTAACCAGATAAGATGATTAAACATGTCTTTTTTTAAACTACACAGTTGAGCATCCCAGAAGCAGTGCAGAAAAGATTATTTTTAAGCTATCATCTTGACAGTTGCCCTTTAATTCATTTTTAGGCATGACCTTGTACGACATGCAAGAAAACAGAACAAAAGATGTAAATGGTGGTGTTCCCGTGTTTAAAATCTCTTTGGATACTTGTTTACCCCTGTAAAGCTGCAGCCCGCAGCTAAAATACATAAGATTCAGTTAAAGTAGTGTTCTCCTTACTTTCTCTTATTTTATAATTTTTTATGACAAAGCACCAAGGATAAAAATTTTGCGGGAAAACACACATTCCTTAAATAGAGAATACTTTTACGGAGTCTGATTTTTCTAGAGTATAATTTACAACACTATGGTAAAATTCATTCTGTTCTCTGATATTGAAAAGGATGATTTCAATCAAAACAATTAATGTTCAAGATGACAAATGAAATAGTCTCTCATTCTCCAGCGCATTTTTTTCCCTACTTATTCCATTCTTGGGAGACTTAGCATCAGTCACTCTATGATGATCTTCTCTTCTTGCCATCTAAACATTTTGCAGGAGTCAAATGCATGTTTTGCAACTTTGGTTTTAGACTTTGGGCTCCAGTTAGCCGGTCTAAATACTGTATTTTGGTTTTCTGTTATGTTGGAATGCCACAATGGCCTATTCCTTCTGGTATTCACATCTTCGTGTAGTACACTATTCTTGAATATGAGGTGGGCCTGAAACTTGCTTTAATTGATACAATGCAGTGGAAATATTGCTGCCCTATTTCAGACCTAAAGCTTAAGAAGCCCTGGCAGCTTCTGCTTTTGCATTCCTGGGAGCCCCAGCTTCTGTGTAAGAAGTGTGGCATCCCTGCTAGAGACATGTGTGTTAAGGCCACGTGAAGAGAACCTATAGAGAAACAGAAACCCTTAGACTACTGGAAGACAGCCAATGAGCCCAACTAAAAGAGAAAATTTAAGTCCCAGACACATGACCCAGGCTGAGCCATTTTGAGCCACATACATGTCTGAAGCATGTGAGTGAAAAAGCCATTTGGACATTGTAACATCAGCATACCACTCCCCTATGACATCATGAGAAATGATGCAAGAGTAGTTCTTTTAAGCCCTTACATTTTAGGGTAATTTGTTACACAGCCACATGTAATCAAAATATTTCTATTCCCTTTACCGTCTTTGCATGTTAAAGAATCATATAGGATTTATTTTTCACAACTAATAATACATGGGGCCCTCTCCAATCCTGATACTCTGTTTTTCTCTAACAGTTCTGGCCTCTACTCAGTCTTTCAAATTGAGACTTACTAAAAGACAGGTTAGTATAAATTCCAAGAAAATAACTCTTCCTCTGTTAGTGGCTTCAAGTCTTTTTTTTTCTTTTAAGAAGGGTTTTATATGATTATCTGGAAGCATTGGCTATTCTTTCTCGAAGCAAAGATGCTTTTTCGTATTTCTCTTATTTTTCTCTTATTTTTGACTTCCTGGTGAAGGAGAACAATATACAGATTCTAAAAGTTCCTAAGTGAGGCTGAGAGAAAGATAAAAGAACTTGAACTAGGCAAAACATGCCCCAATTTAGAAAACAGAATTTCCTTGGCATCCTTTGATCTTCCTAGGTTTTAGGTAAGCACTCAGATGATACTCCATTTATTCATCTCATTTATTCATTCACTGAGGTTTCAACAAACTTGCAGAGAACTCTACGATGTGTCAAAATACTATTTAAATATCTGTTTCTTTTTTTAAAGCCTTTTAGTAACTACTTAAATATAAAGTAATCAAGTTCAAGAACCATCTATTTCTCCAAGATCCCTTAAAGTGAAATGGATTTCTTTCAATCCATGAAAGTCATGACATTACTTTTTATTTTGTGTGTTTATTTCAATCCTTAATATAGAGCTATTCAGAAAAAAAATGACCATGAAATATTGATGGCTGGATAGACATATATATAAGTGAATAAATGAAAGAAGCAGAACTAAGTAGACCATAGGAACGTTCAGTGCTGCAATATATCACATATTGAATATTTATTGATATTTATCATTAGAAGATAAAATAGAGCCATATTTGGAAGGCAAGAAGAATATTAACTTAGCCTTGACATTTTCCAAAGGTGAAGAATTTATCTCACGCCTTTGAACATCTTACAATTTCTCAAAAAATAAAATCCTGTCTGTATCAAATTTAATCCTCCAAAATAAAATATTAATGAGTCAACCACTTGACTTTAAAGGAAAACTGGAAGTTTGGTAGGCTTTAAAATAAAGCAATCTGAGCAAAATAATTTCTTGGTTGTTCAGGACTGGAGATGGTTGGACAGATAGAGTCCAGATGTGCTTGTACCCTGTAGGCACTGCACAATCACCTGTGAGCACCATTTATGCATCCTCTGAGCCTAGGAAAGTAACCAGAGGGAACTCAGAGGCTGAGAAGATTTCCTAACCCCATCCCTACCAAACAGATTCCAGCACTACTCAGTAGGATTTATTTCAATGGTTTCTGTGAGGATAAGATTTTAAAATTGAATGCTAGATACAGTATATGAAAGCAGAAAAAAAACTAATTAATGACTGTGAATGTATCCACTGGTTACCATAACAAGTGATGAATGCGAAGTAGAAGAGGGGGGAAGAAGATTAATGTGGAAAGAAAACTGGGGCTGTGTTTTCTAGAAAAACTCATAAATGAGCAAAACCTAATAGGAATCCCAGGAGTCAAGCTATGGAAAAGGGATGAGATGGTAGTTTTAAGAAAATACTCTAATCTGTCTTTGTGCCAGAGACAAAACATTTTAAATATCTCTTGTTGCATAAGAAAGTACTCTAAAATTTACTGGGCTAAATGGGTTAAAACAACAATAATTTCTTTGTTGATAATTATGCAATTTGGGTTGAAATGATCTTTGCAATGGTGTCAGTTAAGGTGGTTCAACTCAGGCTGGAGGGTCTACTTCCACAATGGCTGATTCTCTTGGCTGACAAGTCCAATGCCAGTTGTCAGCCAGAAGCTCAGGGGCTGCCACACATGGCCTTTTCCTGCAGTTAAGTTTATCTGTCCTCTGGCCTTCCATGATTTGAGTCCCTTCCATATGGAAAATATATTTACTCTTTCCTGAGACCAATAAAACCTCATCTTATTAGAGCATTGCCTTAGGCTTGAAGTCCAGATTCTCATCACCTAGGTCATATCCAGGTGCAGATGAGATTCTTAAGGCCTAGCTTCTCTTGATCTGAAGATCTGTGAGCATGTGAGACAAGTTAATCTGTCCCTCATATCCACAACATGCAATTGTAAACCAGGGACAGGAAAATTACAATAAATTCTCCCATTCAAAAACAGAAAATATGAGAGGCACGTAGTAATCATTGGTCCAAAAAATTCTAAAATTTATCCAGGTATAAATAAATAGTTCCTCAACTAGGGCTCAATTCTAATGTCTGGAAATTTTTTTAGTGGTTTTTGGTTCTATTCTCTGATCTATCCTTCCTTTTCCATAATAATTGACTCATATTTGCAGATGGGTTGCTTTCTTAGTACTTCCTGTCAATAGGAAGTTAACATCCAAAGGCCCCTGTTTATTTTAACCTGTGTCTGTCCCTCTTAATCCAAATTGGTAGTGCTTCTGCTAATACAATTACCTTAAAGGCTTTGTAGGTTTCCAATGAATCTTTTGAAAGTCTACCCTATTAAAATAAAATACACAAAAGTCATAACAATACATCTATTTAAAAAAACCCTCTTGAATCTCAGCTGTAGAACAATGTCTTATGATTCTTAGAAGTCCTTTTTTTTCTTGCTGAGGAGTTCCACGAGTCATGCCTTTATGATCTTAGGAACCCTGTAGTCTAGTAGAGAAAATCTAGGAAGTATTGCCTAAAGTGTTTCAAAGAAATTAGCAAAGGGTTTTGAAACCTGACCTTACCCCAAATGCCACAACCAGATTTCATCTTTGTCCTCAGGCCATTTGTTACTGTGAGAATTATCGACAATTGGAATAGCTGAGAATGAGAAACAGGTTAATTTTCATTTATTTATATTTTTGAGACAGGGTCTCATTTTGTCACTTGGGTTAAAGTGCAAGGGTACGGCCATAGTTCACTGCAGCCTCACTCTTTGCTCAAGGGATCCTCCTACCTTGGCCTTCAGAGTAGCTGGGACTACAGGCATGCCACCATACCCCACTAATTTATTTTTTATTTTCTGTAGTGAGGGGAGTCTCTCTGTGTTGCCCAGGCTGGTCTCAAACTCCTGGCCTCAAGTAATCCTCCTACCTTGGCCTCTCAAAGTGCTGGGATTCAACGTGTGAACCACCACCCCTGGCCAAGAACCAGATTTATATTTGAATGAAGCAAATCCTGGCTTTTTCACATTGATTATTAATTTTGTTCAAAAACTAAAATTTCCTTTGTAATTTATTTTGTTCTTCCTGTCTTTGTCATAAATAGGTAAAGTCAAAATAGATAGCTTCAACGTTCTGCCCGGAAATCACAATACCCGAGCCACAAGGTCATTAAGTATCATTTCTATCATCAGCCTTACTGCAGATGGAAGCCTCACTCATTTTTCCACCAGCCCCATTCCCTCTAGCCACCAAGAACAATTTCCCAAATATTGTTCCAGTGTATAGTAAAAGTTTCTTTGAAGCCCTTCAGGCTTCAGGGCCCTTCAGCCCTTCAGGGACTGCCACCTAGTCCCCAAACCCACTAATTTCACATGATTCATTTACAGACACATTGTACTTGCAGATACAAATTTTGTTTTAACTTTCTAACACTGCCTTAAAAAGTCACCTCAAAAACTGAATGGCTTAAACAAAAACAGTTTATTATTTCTCATGATCATGGGTTGAGCTGGCAGTTTTTCTGCTTTACTTAGTGCTGACTGATGGCTAGCTGGTTTACAGTGGCCTCACCCGTAAGATAAATTTATGCTGTCTGGATGATGGGAGCCATCAGGCAGGGGCTGTCTGCCTGGGACCTGTTCTCCCTGCTGGCTTGGTTCTTCAATTCTCTGCTATGTGGCCTCTCCATGCACTTATCTTGAACTTTCTCAAACATAAGGGTCTCAAAGTAGTTAGATTTTTTTCATGTGCTGGCTGCTTTCTACTAGCACAAAAGTAAAAGCTACCAGACCATCTCAAAGCTCAGGTCCACAACTAGGACAGCATCATTTCTGCCTCATTCTATTGTTTAAAACAAGCCACCAGCCCATCCCATATTCGTGCAAAGGGCATTGGTACCCAGAGGATGTGATTCACAGGAAGCCAAATAAGTTAACAGCCTAGCACAATAAAAATCAATTACCTTACAATGAATTGCTTGAAAAGAAACTATTGGACAGCAGTTCTTGAAGTGTGGTTCCCAAACCAGCAGCATCAGCATAACTGTGAAACTTTTTTTTTTTTTTTTTTTTGAGACGGAGTCTCGCTCTTTCGCCCAGGCCGGTCCGGACTGCCGTGGAGCGATCTCGGCTCACTGCAAGCCCCGCCTCCCGGGTTCACGCCATTTTCCTCTCTCATCCTCCCCAGCAGCTGGGACTATAGGCGCCCGCCACCACGTCCGGCTAATTTTTTTTTCTGTATTTTTAGTGGAGACGGGGTTTCACCGTGTTAGCCAGGATGGTCTCGATCTCCTGACCTCATGATCCACCCGCCTCGGCCTCCCAAAGTGCTGGGAATACAGGCGTCAGCCACTGCGCCCGGCCATAACTGTGAAACTTTTTGCAAATACGAATCCTTGACCTGTACCCCATACCTACTCAATGAGAAACTCTGGGGACGGACCTACAAATCTGTGTTTGTCAAGCCTTCCAGGTGATTCTAATGTAGACGAAAGTCTGAGAATTCAAGGGCAAAGAAATGTGTTCAATTGAATTTGTGTCTTACGTGGAAAATGTTAAAGCATAGCCAACCAGTTAATTCTTATTATGAATTAGTTAACTCTTACTTTTAACATATCAGTTATAAAAAGGTTAATTTTGCTAACAATGTTCTATGACTATTGCTATAAACCATTCTTTATAATATAGGTAGTAAATAAATGTATTGGTCAAATTAATCAGCAATCCAAAAACCTAAATGAAATGTCTAAGAATCAATTAACAATTATCTTTCTTATCTATCTACATACATACCCACACACACAGACACACACGCACTCACACACCTCCTTTTTTTCTCTTTCTTTTGCTCTTTGGTTGTTGCTATTGTTGTTTTTATGGTCACTTTGATAGTATTTTATGTTATGTTTGAATGATAATTTTTTTTGTCATGAATAGTTGTTTATTTCCAGGAATCAACAATGCAGGTACGGTAAAGAAGGAAGCTAGCATACATGATAAATATAGCCAGGGCACGAACAATTTTTCAGAACAATTATTTTTTAAAACAACCTGGCAATGTATATTTAAGATGAAGATCCTGCTTCAGTGGGGAATTAGCAACTTGTCCAAGGACGTTTGGTAGAGAAAAGGTTTCACTTATATATTGATCCCTTTCTTTTCAGTCCACTGAGATTAGGCATCTACTCAGTAATTTCAGGCTGTTCTATAATCTTCCAAAGTATTCAGGTGTTTGCAAAATTAACCTCTCAAAATATTGCAACTGGAAATGGCCTATTGAACTCCATTAATTGATTAAATTCTACATGCCATTAGAGCAGCACTTGTTTGATTGCAATAAAAATGAATCATGGGAAGTGGTTTGTTAGGGAAGAGAAGGTAAAAATAGAAAGGATTCAAATATTATCAGCAGCATAAGAAACTTGTGGTGCTGATTTCTGTGTAAAAGTTCTAAAATCAAATGGTATTTGCAGCCTTCGACACTTGATTAGACTATCAATGACAGTAGTTGTGCAAATAAAATCCTGGAGCAGGTCACAGTTTATCTTACATTATTTCTCTTAATTCAGTAAATGTTATGGATCATTATGCATCACAGAATCCTCATATCATTCCTATGTTGTAGGCAGTATTATTATCCACATTTCACCAATGGGGGAAAAAACACCAAATTAGCCAAGTTGGGATTTAAACAGTCTGGCTACAAAGTTCATGCTTCTAGTCACCAGGCGAAACAGACTCTTTATACTGATCTCAGGTTCTCACTTTGAAAATATATGGGTATATGCCAATATGGTGATTTCTAAAGAAGTTAAAAGAATCTCTTACAGGTTAGACATCTGAAATTGTAGTAATGGCTACTGTCATAGAATAGATGATAGTCTTCTCTATTCACAGTTGCTTAATTGTAAAAGGTCTTGAACACATTTCATCTCATTTGACTCACTCAATTCTCAAAAGGAATTTATTCCAATTTTGTCACTATGAAAAAGAAAAATAGAAATAAAACAGGCTTAGAGAAGCAAAGTAATGTAGATAGTTCATGCAACTGGTAGATGCCTCAGCTGGAACAGTAAGGCCAGTATCCTGATGTCAAATCTTACACTTTTCCTGGAAACCCCATAAATTCTCAAAGATCAAGTAACAATCCACAAAGAAAGGGAAGCCTGCTCAGCCTCATTTATACATCTGAATAGCAAGATTTCTGAGAAGCAGAACCTTTAAAATGCAGTATGAATTTAGATCTTGCTTTATTTAAAATAAATTTCATTGTTATACTCCCAATACAACTTCTACTCTTGTATTTGATCTCCTTCTTAGACTGAGAGAGACAGGTCTGGAGTGAGAGCTAGAAAGCTGGGAAGTAACCCCATCCAGTTTTATGGGTATTCACAGACAAGCGTACATTGCTTAGCAAAGTGACCTATCCTAAGTACTTCCAGCAGACAATCGGTTGATAGTCATAACTTTAGTGACATAGCATAGCTTTTGTTTCTTTAGAATACATGGACTGGCACCTATAGAGAGGGGTCATTTGGTGGCTTTGCTTCTTGAATATGTCTCTATTTTTAATAAATACTTAAACCCTATGACCCCATTCTTATTCTGCCTCCCTTTAATATGCTTTCTGAGAAGGTGCTATGTGTAAGGGACTTTCAAGGAAAAATAAAATAGAAGGGAAGAAAAGAGTGCACGAAAATAAAGTTTTGAATATTTGGAGAGGGCACATAGCAAAAAGGAAAGCAAAAATCAGGAAGAAATGTGATAGAGGAGTACAAACTGGTAGGTGGTGTAGGAAAAAAGGAGAGGACTTCAAAAGATTCATATGAGATGGTGTCAAAGAAGGGGACACACCTAAGTCCCTATTCTCCTTTGACTCAATTATCTGCTTATTGGCACAACCAACTACAGTCAGCTTAAATCTTTGCTGAAACTAAATGGAGACTTAGCACCATTTGTTGTGTGAATCTGCGTCTGTAATTTCTGTGACCTGGGCATTCAGGGCAAAAATTGTTCCCATTTTTTTCCATTTCATGCATCGTTTCAGAGCTATGTAGTCTCTATGTAGAAGCTGTGGGTGCCGATTTAAATGAGTAGAAAAACAAGCATTGTAAAGCCTGCATTGCCAGCATCTGCTTCTCTCATTTACAACCAGAGAATGAAAGGTAACAAGAGCAACTCAATTTAACAACAGTGGATCCTGTGTTTGCATAAGTGTCCCGTTTTAACTAGGAGGCAACTGTGTATGATCCCTTCAGAGAATCAGGTTGCTGGCTGGCAGGCCTCCAGGAGCAGAAACACCTGCACAGTGGAGACGCACGATCCTCTGTGAAGGGTGCCAGCCATGGCCATTCCACATCACATGCTTAGCATCTGACTAAGGATGTCAGTTGTTTTCGAGGGCCAGTTGGTTACAGAAAATAACTACAGCTCTGTTGAGACCCTTTCTCTCTTTGCTTTTCTCTCTGATCTGACTAACCTCTTTCATTCTTTGCCCTATGTTATATGGCTTAGACCAAAGCCTGAGACATTTAACCAATTTATAAATATTAAATGCAGAAGGCATACTTTATCAGTTCCTGGAAACATCAAAGAAGCTGGAAGGGGAATGGAAATTGGATGGCACTTTGTGGAGGTCACTTTGCTGACAGTCAAGTATTCAAAGGTAGGGTTTTGCCCATGGTTTTAAACCATTGCCTTATATGGTAAGAGTCTTTTCTATCATTCTTCCGGCTCTTAGCACAAGCTTGGAAGAATGAATGAATGACAACTAACAAATGACTGAAAAAGAACTTAATGCTAATTTGTGTAAATGTGACTAGATCTGGACATTTATTTTGCTTTTATAATTAACTTACTTGGATAACTTTCAAAAAGTAGCTTATTCTTAATTACTCTCTGCCTTTATTTCTTCCTTTTTTCTTCATTCTTTCCTTCCTTCTTTCAGTTTTTCTTTTTGTCTTTCCTAAGAATCTGCCTTCTTATACTACATTAAAGAGAACGAAGGAAAGAAGAAGGGAATTCTTGGCCTGATAAAATTCTTTCCTTTTTCCTTCCTTCTTTTCTTTCTTCTCTTTGATGTAGTATAAGAAGGCAGATTCTTAGGTCATGAACCTGATTCTGCCTTTAAGAAGAGAGTTCTTACTTTTTGAAGGCATATTGGGCCACTGCATCCTAACAGACATGCATTTTTTTTTAAATGTGAATTTCCTTGCTAATGGCAATTTACTTTCTCTTCAATTTATTGAACTTCTAGAGAAAGAAGATAGCATCATGCTGATTCTTTGCTCTGGATTTAAACTGAAATTATAGCCACCAGAGATCATGAATAAATAATTCTCAAAAAGTTTTAGAGACTCTTCTAACTATAAACCAGCCTGAGATAAGGATCCAGACAGAACAATACCCATGAAGATTGCTAAAGCCAGCACCCATCGTTAAACATTAACTGGGTGGCAGTATAGCTGGCCAATCAGCTATGCATTCTCACATCCTCTATCAAACTGACCTTGAGTATGAGACAGGAAAATGGTGCTAGCTATTGTATGCCAGACTGAGTGAAATATATTTCTTTCTGGAAAATTCTCAATAGAGAAAAATTCATCAGATCTGGAAAACAGCTCAATTTACACACCCATTATCAATGTAATTTCAGGTTATTCTTCCAGTTGCAGGTGCTCTCAAAATAAAGTTTATAGTGCATTCAACCCAAAATGTTATTATTAAACTAATTAAGAAGAAAACTTCTAGGCTTAATAAATAAACCTGTCAGCCCATGTAACAGTGAAATTAGCCGACATTTTATGAAGAATACAATATTTAAAATTCAAAAGGATCCCTTTTATAGTTTTTGACTGATCTTTGGAAAGTATGACAAATTCATGTGACCCACAAGTTGCACTATCATCCCTCTTGGAAATACCTATTTCCATCATCACTGCCATATAACATCTACATTTTCCTCCATTTCCCATCCAATCACTTATTGACTTTTATTGATCTTATTTATTACAACACCATGTTTAATATCATAACATCATAAAACATATGATGAGTCAAAATGAGGGAAAAAATGCCTGAGCTTCCTTTTTTTTTTTTTTTTTTTTGAAACACTGGGTCCATTTTCCCTGTGAAAAAAAGAGGTTAGGAAGTTATGGTAGATCTTGTACTGAAACACAACTCATTATGTTAGTTTCCCAAGAATAGTTGGAAAATCTTACCAGCAACCTACACAACGTTACCTTCAACTATTTCCCACTTGGAGAGGGTATTAAAAGGTTTGTTGTATATGATAGAATAGCAAAGAAGTTTAGGTCATAAGGACTGAAATGACAGGAGAGTCATTGTTCCAAATCTCCTTGTCATCTCTCTGATCCAAAGCAAGATTTTATGTTACAGTTTTAAATATAAGATTAGTGCTAGGAGATATTTTTTAAACTCAGCAGCTTCTACATCACATGAATATTTTTCAAGGCACACTGGTTCAAGGGATATTTCATTAGAAACAGCAGCTACCAGAACAATCATGAATATTAGCTATATATTATTATTTTGATGTTTTAGCTATAAACAGTAAGAGGCAAAACCTTTAATTTCTATGGCATTTCCTATTCTGAATAAAATTTGGTAAACTTGGCATCTGGAATACTAATCAGAATATTTGCTATCCATGAAAACAGCAAGTCAGCCATGGAAATGCCTGTCTTATTAACTGTGAAAACTGAAACACAGAAGGAAAATATAATCTGTTTTAAATATATTCTAGCATGCTGAGAAGTGGAATGTATTTGGAAGGTCATAACTGGCATACCTACTTGGTGTTTTCTAGAATATGTTTTAGAATAAACGCAGTGCCAAGACGAGGCACCAAAAGAACCATTGGCCTGATACTACTGTTTGGAGGGTCTGGAAGAGAGATATTTAAACACAGTATTTTATATGTATTTCTAGGTGCTAAAGCAATATTTATTTTCTTAAAGAGGTTTTCTCCAAAACATATGCAAAAGGGTTACAAGTAAACCTCCTTACTTATATAAGTGTGTAAAATTTTCCACCCTTGAAGCCACAGCACATGTATTTCTAAAAAAGAAAAAATATATATATATATTAGCAAACCACTAACATATGTGCATACACTAGGAAAATTGGATTACTTTACTTGACTGAATGAAGAGATGCATTTATTTACTTCTGAACCCTTATTTGAATATAAACTTGTAAGAACTGATCACTTATATTTAGAATGAACAAAAACCTACAGAAAAGGGAGTGGATAGGACCACAGGCCAGGTCAGGTCCTCCTGCTGTTGTCTGCCTTAAGTGGGGTAATTTATTTTGATCTGTGGTCTTAGAGACGTGAAATTGCGTAGTGTATTCCTGCCCACTGACTGGCATGGGTATCTTTCTATTGTGAGTTATTTTTCTTTTATTAGGATAGAAACGTTGGTGATAATGAAATTTTAGCACAAGTTTTCATAAATATAAGAATGTGAGAAGGATGATAGCTCAGTGCATGCAATCTTTTTGGCTTATACATTTGAGTTTTCATTGACATAGAAATCATCTAGCAAAGATGACCTCAGGCTTTGAACTTTTATAATACTCTATAATACTATATTAATGTTAAGTATGAACTGCTACATACCTGTATGATTATTTAAGAGCTCCATTTTGTCCATCATAATCATTGAAATATCTTCAGAGCTTTATAATGACATAAACTTAAATTCCTCTGTGAAGGTCAGGAAACATGTGTTGTATTTCTACTTGGAAAATTCTCTTTTCTCTTTTTGTGATCATTACTTGTCAGTCTCTTTTTCGCTTTTCGTCCCTTCATCATTGTTATTAATAGACACTCTGCAAATCCATCCCACCATGCTCAATCCCTCCTGCCGTGGACAAATACTTGTTCAAGTAATTCATGGAAAAGTAGATGCAAGTGGATGCAAGCATTTCCCTCCCAAAGTTGTGTTTTAAAGGAGCTGAGAGCTTCCCATGTTAGGAGTAAAGCAATAATACCTTAATGATAGACAAAACGAACACAAGTGAGGAGTAAAAAATTTGCTGGAAAGGAGTTTTTAGAAAACTAAAACCTAAAATCATAGAGTAATTAAATCGAATTAGTATAGTCAGAGTTACATTATCAGAAGTAAGTCTGAGGCCGGGCTTGGTGGCACACACCTGAAAATCCAACACTTTGGGAGGCCAAGGTGGGAGGATCGCTTGAGCCCAGGATCAAAGGTGACAGTGAGTCATAATCACGCCACTGCATTCTAGCCTGGGCAAAAGAGCGAGACTCTAGCTCAGAAAAAAAAAAAAAAAAGGAAGGAAGTTTTAGTATATTTGGGCTGCCATAAGAGGGAATGGGTAGGTGGACATTTAGAAACCAAAGCAACATTTGACAAGGTATATGTTCAGAAAATCAGATTATAAGCTAGCTCTAGAAATTTGACTTGTTAAGGTGACAGGGCTAGTGTGGTTAGACCCAACTGAATTCTAGGTTTCCTAACTCCAATCCAGAACTTCCTTTTAAGATTTGCTGTTTTATGACCTCAGTTTTCTATCATATAGTAGATACCAATAAATATTTGACTAAATGAATCATTTTCACTATTCATACTCTTATTCTCCACATTATTCCAGATACGAGGATTTCTCTACACAATGAGTATCCTAAATCATGTATTAGAGGAGGCCAGCCTGTCTCAGTGATTACTTAGAGAGGAATATGTATACATTAATAGTTTTTAAACAGAGAACACTTACTTCACTCCAAACTGAACTGTACATAAGACAGGAATATATAAAACATACAAAAATAGAGCTTCTATAGTTCAAAATTAAATGTGCACAGGACATACACTCCCTTCTATTGGTACTTCCTACAGAACTGTTTTGGCCCAATTAAATCTATTTGTGAATAAAGGGCACTGAGGCTTAGGGGCAGTTCACCTAAATCCACATGGGAATTCCAAAGCTGGACTAGGAATTCATGCCCCCCTTACCTTGACCTAGTGTTTTTTCTGGTAATTTATACTGCTTGTATGCATACGTCTGGATTTAGCGCTCTTGCTTTTTCTTTCTGTTTGTTTACTTGTTTGCGTTCAGTTTTTTAGGTATTTTCAAGCTCTAACATTGATAAGCTACAGCAGTACACTTTCCCACTTAGTATTTTGACCAGTTTTTATTACTGTCTCTAAAATCTAGATGACGCTAATACTAACAAACTTTTGGTCAAATATAGAATAAAATAAATATATTTAGCTAATTTGATCAAAACTCCAAATGAACACGGTTTAATTAATTACAACAAACCATGGAGCCACAGTCAATTCTGAAAAGAGAAATCCCATAAAAGCAATTTACTTAAAATAGTTTATACTTGGTTTCATTGTTTTATAAGATTGAACAATGACAAAGTTATCTTTTTATAATTAACTAAAAGTTACAATAAGTTGGTGGTTTTCTAATGCAGGATCCACTGTAAAAAAAAAAAAAAAAGAAAGAAAAAAAGAAAAGAAAAAGAAAAAGTCAGGAGGCTGAGGCAGGAGAATCACTTGAAGCCGGTAGGCGGAGGCTGCAGGGAGCCGAGATCGCGCCACTGCACTCCAACCTGGGCAATAGAGCGAGACTCTGTCAAAAAAAAAAAAGGCACTCAGACATCTAAAGTGAATTTCAAAGAGAGAAAATCACAGACTTGGAAAACATGGAAGTTTTAAAACTATGGTAGTAACTAAGACAACATAAAGATCTGGTCTTTTGTTGCTGTTGTTTAAAAAAACACACTTTTTAATTTTTAAAACTAGCCTCCAAAACAGTTCATCTTCACATTTCCAAAATAAAGTTTTAACTAACATTCCCTCACTAAATGAATAAAAATGTAATACCCCAAATAGTGTTCAAATTACTGGAGATATAGATAGATAGATAGATAGATAGATAGATAGATAGATAGATAGATGATAGAGAGAGATACATGATAACAATATAAAAATCATATAATATATGTGTATATGTATGTTTGTGACAAACTAGTTACTTCAGATAGCAATATAGTAATGGTAATATAATTTCCAAAATAACAATTAATACCTATAAAATAAGCTATAAGATATTAAGCACTTTTGCTCAATCATTTAATTTCAAAACAATCCATGAAGGAGTATGATAGAGTATATATACTTTGTAGGTATTTTATATGTATTTTATTTTTTTGACTGAAGAGTATTGGTGCATATGAAGAGTAAATAATATGAATTATTCATTGTGAAGACCTGCCCAAAAGCCTTTTAATGTTGTTGTTGTCACTAGTGTGTGCAAGTATGCATGTGTGTGCGTAGGAAAAATTACAGAAAATCCAGAGACACGGAAGACCAGATTCTCCTAAAATCCCACTCCACTAACATCACCACTGCTATGATTTTATTATATTAAATTCCATCTCTTTCTATATGCATAGAATTATTACAAATAAATAACTGTCCTAATCAGGTTAGATGGTATCATTGCTTTCTTCTAACAGAATCTAGAGGCTCAAAGAGAATGAGGACCTTGCTCGAGGGCACATCATTCCTTGGTGGTCTCCCTGGTCCAGTTTCTATTCACATGCCACCCTCCCTCATCCATCCAGGGCCAAGTGATTGCAGAGGTACAGGTCCAAGGTTGAGAGTCAGGCATAGAAACACATATGTTAACCTAGACAGCAAGAAAACATTGTTAGGATTAGATTTCCTCCCATCCATTAGATATGTCTTTAGTAAATACCTGAAAGAGATGGAACTCAGCTCCCACATGCTTGGAAATGGAGCGTATCTGTCTGTGCTTTTGCCCAACAGTGTGAGCGTAGCCAGGCACAACCTTGAGCCATTACTTCCAAAGAGAGCAACACGAAGCCTGCCCGCCCATCGCGGAGGCAACATTTTTAAAAAGGCTACTGCTGTGTAAACTGGATATGAGAGCAGGAACATTTTTATTTTTGAGGAAAATAGCTCAGTAAACATTCCATCACATTTCACAGCAAATGCGTTCCACCCACTGACACAAAACCCCTGGCCTACTCTCCTCTGGGTTACTTCTAGCTTTTCAAACATCCGGTAAAAATAAAAGCAAACATAGCTCCCTTTTTTAATTCCTTCTTTCTTTGAAATTGCCATATGGCAAGGGTTTCTCTTAATATCTCTTAATAAAACCCAGTAATATTTAACAGAAAAGCAGCCACTCCCACTGCAGGAAAAGGTAAAACTCAATCCACTAAATAATGTGTTCAAGCCATGAGGAAAAAAAATGAAGCTTATTGCTAGAAAGTCAGGCAAGTCCCTTTGTATTCATTCCAACAGCTGCTTAGCATGAATGGAGGCCAAGTAAGGAAAATTCAGGTAAATATTCCAGTTTAATACATTTACCCAGGGGTCAAAAAGACACTGTGCTTTTTGAGGGTGTGGTGTTATACTTATCCTTAAAAGGCAATTTTTAATATAAAAAGTGAAGCATTTTGATTTACAGACCTTAATGTATTTCAGACACACACAAAATGTGACAACCTCATGCTTGTGTGACGCTGGAGAACGCACGGGTAAGTTAAGATCCTTGCCTAGGTCCCAGCTGTCCAGAGAAATCATCAAAATCAGAGGCCTAGCCCCATTTGCTAACACTTTCACCCTCGCCTTCCTAAACCTGTGAGTCCACTTGCAGAGCTGAAATTCTAAGTAGCTAAATAATATGTTTCCTAGTGCAGTGACACTACATCGATTGTACTGATCCTCCATAGCTATTTACCCTTCCCTACTTAAGAATCATCCTATTGGCCTATTTAGGAATTGGATTTTGGAGACACATGAAGTGATGTATAAATGTAACAACAGATCTCCTCCTCCGCCGCCCCAATACATACAATTTTAGACAACCAAAGCAATCATTACCTGAGAAGGTCTTGTTTCTGGCAGAAAAAAAAATCAATTTAATTATACAAGATGTGTCTTACGTTTTAATTGTTCAGTATAGTGCCTCATTGACAGTGTCTCCCTGAATCTCAGTTTATGAGCTTTTACATTACTCAGATAACTTGCTGAGGAGAAAGAAAAAAGTTCATCATTTTCCTTAAAAGAACTGAAGAGGCATTGTGCCCAAGTCATTAGAACCCTTGACTGTGCTCATAATGATGAATGCATCATTTTTCTTGCATGAAACTTTGGTAACAAATTGCACAGCCAAGTCTTTTCCAGCACTGTTATTCTGTTTTAAAAAACACTGACATTTTCTTAAACAGACATAATTTACAATTTTAAGGAGCACAACAGTGCCTTGGTGTTTGAGGGCCAGAAAGCAAACAACACTCCTTTCAGTTAGATGTTTTAAAGGGGAGTCTCGTGCTTAGTGAGTTCACTACAGCTTAAGGCCAGAGAGACAGAGCAGAGGGAGAACAGAGCACCAGTGCAGCATGTGAAGGTCATGACTAACTGGTCACATTACATTAAGAGTCAGAGCAAGATGGAGGAGCTAGAGGAATGAGAGGGGTGAGCAGGACAGCCGAGCCATGCTCAGCACAATACACGGTGAGGCACCACAGTGGTGCTATTCCCTTGCCCAGATAGAAGTGGCCGCAGATTTCTTTCTATCAGACCTATGAGGGAAGCAGCAGTCTTGTGGATGCTTCTGTACTTAGAATGCCCTCTCCAGCAGGCCCTTCTGTAAATTTCACACAAAGGGAGCCTCGCCAGTGTCCATGTGCCTGGATCAATATCTGCAGCAATGTTCGATTTCCAGTGGGGTCAGCTCAGCCCAAGTAGATAAATAGAAGTCTGTGTAAGATGCTGCAGGTCTGTTGTTTGGATGAGACTGTAGAAGTGAAGGTTATGTGTAAAGAATAAAAATACCAAGGTTTTATTTCTATAACCACCTATGTGTTTCAGTGCCCTTGGTAAAGTTTCTCTTCCTGTATTTCCTAATAATCCTTAATTAAATAGCAGTGTCTCATGGCTGGGGAAAATTATTTTTGTGAGGGAATAAGCATAAGCTTGTGTGTGTGTGTGTGCATTTGTGTGTGTCCTTTTATATACTGAAACTATACATGTGTGTATTATGTATTTATAGATGTATATACAGATACATGTACATATGTATTTATGTGTATATATATACACATACCTTATACATCTCATTTTCCTATGAGAACATTTTTGCCTTTTTTTGATGTATATATGTTAACTAACCTAAGATACCTTCACCAGCAGAAGTTCAGAATCCAGATGATGTTACTACCATATGAAATGTGACCATTCGCCTGTTCTACAAACATCATTTAAGCTCCTACCCTGTTCCACGCATAACCCAAAACTCATTACACAGATTCCTTCCATGAAATCTCTCATAAATTTTAAAACGCATTAGACCCACAAACACAGTTACAAACCAGTATGATGAATGCAACCAAAATGCAAATGAGGTGAACAAAGCATAGTGTAGAATGATGAAGGGAGTGATTCCCTTTATTGGACAAGAGTCAGTGAAGAATCCTCCTTGGGGAGAGGCATCTCTTCTGAGTTTGAAAAGATGGGGGAAAACAGTTTACCAGGCAAGCAAGGGGAGGAAAATGACTCTAGGCAGAGGAATGGGCAACTGCAAAGGCACAGAGGACTACAACACTGTGGTGTGTGCCTTGTTCAGGTAGAAGGTAACAGAGAAAGGCATCAAGGGGTGGGAAGCCAGGCTAATAAGGAGACTGAAAATAACCCGTCACAATGTGTCCCGTGCTATCAGTTAAGCAGCTTGGCTTTTATTCTAGAAAGCATTACCCAATGTGTCTTTGTGGAAACTAGTACTACAGATATTGAATAGGTAAAACTTGAAAAAGAAATTCCATGCTTAAATACATTAAGAGAATTCTGGATTGAACTAGTTTATTCAGGCCATCACTGCTCCAAATCAATGCCTTTGAAGCCTCCAGGAGGAGGTTTCACTGCCCAAGTTTTCTAAATCATATTTTGCCATTTATTAACTTGCTGAAGTTTTTCTCTGGTTCCTGTCCCTTAGGAGATACTGATGTAAGTACTGGATAGGCAGTGAAATATTTTAAACAGTGGAGCAAGAGAGGCCTTATCAGTCTCCTATTTTTACATTTTTGACATCATTTTCTAATGACAGTAAATGGACTAATTAAGAGGTTATTAGTAATTAAGAATAAGGTCCTTATCTAAGGCAGAGGGAATGGAAGCAGAAAGGAAAGAATAATTTCAGAAAATAATAGGTTGTAGAATCGTACTTTCCCAGATCACTGGATGATATATATTTTCTTAGCTGTGAATTTTGGATCAAATGAGTAGCAACTTAGAAAACCATAATGTGTCCCTAACGTATCTCAAAGATCAGTGATAAAATCTACTTATTGTTAGTTTGTGCTTTGTCAACTTTTCTCCTGGAGAAATTGGATTTTTGGCCAAGAAAGTCTATCCCATATTATTTCTCCAAAAGCAACTCATGAAGTAGCTAGAAGGTAGATGAAAGTCAGCCCCAGTCATGGTGGAAAGACCAGTGAGCCTAGACTAGAGGAAATTCTGGAGCTGAGTCCAGTCCTGACTTATTCCAGAATAAGTCCAGAACTGAGTTCACAGAATAAGTCAAGGTCACTCTACTCAAGTGGTTAGCTAAGAAGCCTTCTACTGCAGATACAGAGTGATCAAAAATTACCAAATTCATAGTGGAGTGAGTTAGGGGTTGGGGGTGGTGGTGGAGGGCTCAATGTAAAACCAGAAGTAACCATATTGTATACCAAAGAAGGCAAATGGGAGATCAGGCCCTCTTCCCTGGGGCAAGAGAGGAAAGGCAGAAAAGTGATTGTATATTTCCTGCACGACATCCTTGAAAAAGTGTGAATCTTCTGTCAGTTCATATAAATTCCAAATACCTCCCTGCATCTTTAAGGTTGGTAAGATTCCTCAAATTACCAAGAACAAGGGACGATCTTTGATTGTAAACTTGGAGGAGGCTGTGGGGATAGAGGTGGAAAAAGTAAAATCTACCAATAAACTTTCAGGAATGCCCATGAAACGAACCCAAGCAAATGATGCTTCTTTCTGTAAACACTGCACACTACATCAAGCCTTTTATTTCTATTTTAACCAAAAATATGGCATAAAACATTCAGAGATCTTAAAGGGAGCTTTCATAAATACATTGCTGTTTGATGTGAGCCGAGTGTCAGTCAGAAGCCCTGGTCTAGGAGGTACATGGCCCACATCAAGTATTTTGCTATTTTCTTCTGGGATCTCTACACCCTCCCTGCTGCCTAGGTGCATCTATTTGATCTGAGGGCTGTGTGGACACATGAGAGGCATCTCGCTTTCTTGCTCTTCGTCTACCTCTCGCCTGTTAAGATTAGGGGGAATTTGAATTTAAATGAGAATTTTAAAAGTGGCTGAAGCTGGTCTGAGCTGGGGTTTTTCATGGGAACGTCAGTACTGAAGAAGTTGGCCAGATCAAAGCCACAGTCTGTGTTCCACAGGAGCTTTTGAAAACTATTTAGAATAAAACAAGTGGAGGAAAAATCCTCCTTGTGCCAGACTGCAGGCTGCTGCTGCTTAAACACACATCAAGGCAGAGCCGTAAAGCTACAGTTAGCCCAGATACCAGGCCAAGAACTGCAGCCTCTCTTTGATTTTTTTTATCCATTTCTTCCCAAAGGAATGAGGTCGCCAACCAAAAAGTTGCACCTGATCCTCTCAGCTCTCTTTGAAGATGCTTGCTTGCCCAGTTCACGTTGCTATCGTCCACAGAAGCTGTATCGTGGGATGAGGAGAGGTGGCTTAGGAATAGGTTTAAACTAGGAGAAAATGCTTCATAACTGAGCTCAGTCTTCATCTATGAGGAGAGCACCATAAGATGGAGGATGTAAGGGAGATATTTAACTAATACCTTCTGCTTCTGGCTGTTTTGCCCCTTTGCTTTTATTCCTCAAGAGTTTGCAAAGTTTTCTCCACCACGGTAACCTAGATCATCTTCTATTCATCTGGATATCAGAGAATCCAAGAGGGTTAGAGGAAATATTCCTTCTCAGTGCCTTCCAGATAAGATGTAGACTACAAAACCCAGGACATTCTGTTCTGCTGCAGTTACTAAACTTAGTAACTAGTTTGGCAATGTCAAGGGGAATGATTTGGTGAAATGCAGGAGTCAGGTTGGTTTATATTTGATTTTGATTCCTGGCCTCCTCACCCCTCAGGCAAGGAAAGGTGCAAAATAGCAAGAGTGGAATTACCATCTTCAGGAGGAAACACAAAAGCATCTGTTTAGCTGTCTCTTCAATTATGTTGGAAGGAATGTAAGAGCCCAGGCCAGTTCTATAGGGCTTGGAACTCCAGGTATCTCACCTTGCTCACTCTTTTGCCCATCTTAAGGGAAGCCTTACTACTGCAGACTCTCCACATCCACCTATGCTGCTCTAATTAAAGGACTGTCAATATTTTGACTGTATTCACTTTTGCTGAGTTTTAATATCCACTGAGGCAGCTTTTAACAATGCTGAACTATCTGCCTGGGCCATCTAAATTAATTCTCCAGGTATGCGTCATCATAACATCATAATCATCTTTTTTGTTGTTTGTTTTTTAGTGCTTTGATTACAAGGGTTAATTGGAGTGGTCTGTTTGCCTAAACTCTATTATTTTGAATGTGCAATTTCTCAGGAAACACATTGCTTTATGGGAGAAAATGTCTGTATTCTCATTCCATTTAATTTCTCATCACCACCTTTACATACGTTGCCATTGAAATTATCAATAGCCATAACTTTTGAATGAATGTTTTATGTCAGGTACTACTCTCAGCACAGTACGTACATTATTTCATTTAATTCTTGTATATTCATCTCATGAAGGAACCAGAAATTTTAGGGAATGTTTTCAACATCACAGAGCTTGAGTAAATGCTATAGTGAGGATTCAGAGTAGGCCAGGGGACTAGGCTATAAATTATCAATGGAAACAGTATCAGCTCTAGGTTTGGATACAAATGAGACACAATAAAACAGACTTTAAACCTGGAAGATACTTGATGGACACTCAAAATATGATGCAAATCTCCAGCATCAGCCACCTTGGAGCCTGTTCAAATGCAGATTCTCAGGCCCTATGCAGCCCTAGTGAATCATAATTTTATTATCTTGTTCAGTTTTCAATGTGGACCCTGGAAACATTTGAGAATACAAAATTATTTCAGAGAGTTGTGAATTCAAAGAAGCAGCAGATATTTTCTGAGGAATAAATATGTCTTGAGAATTCTATTTTTGTAAAAGTATAAAGATACATTTGAGTCATTTCAATAATACTTATATGACAATAGTTCTGGACCCAAATAAAATGTTTTTTACTATTACTCTATATATTTTCTTATGTAATGGATACTAGAAGTATTAGTATACAGAGACTTGGGTTTTTTTGTTTGTTTTTTTTTTAGACGGAGTCTCACTTTTGTTGCCCAGGCTGGAGTGCAATGGCACAATTTCGGCTGGCTGCAACCTCCGCCTCCTAGGTTCAAGCTATTCTCCTTCCTCAGCCTCCCGAGTAGCTGGGATTACAGACGCTTGCCACCACTCCCAGCTAATTTTTGCATTTTTAGTAGAGATGGGGGTATCACCATGTTGGCCAGGCTGGTCTCGAACTCCCAAAGTACTGGGATTACAGGCGTAAGCCACCACACACGGCTTTTTTTTTCTTAATTAAAATGGATATTCACGTTTAAAATGTAGGAAAAACCGATGTATTTCAAACTCCTACCTGATGTTGGCACTTCCTTTTCAATATCCCTAACAAAGTGTCACTTAGTTTGTATTTGAGGATTGTTATTGAGAACCATATTTCTCATCAGGCAGCTGATTAATTTTATTAGAAGATCTATTTTTTAAAGTTATTTTAATGTTGTGTTTAACTATACCATAATGGGGTTCAGGATACACTATGCCAAAATATGGCACCGTGACATACTGAAAAACGGCAGAAGCAGATGGACTCTCTGACCTCCTATCCTTCTTCCCTGATATGGGTCATAAAACCTAGGAAGGATTTTCTGCTCTTGCCCTGAAGGAGTTCAAAAGACCTTTGTGTGAGAGGTGTCCTCCCTATACCCTGAGAAAAGGACCATAGTCTGATGTCTGATCTCTGAAGATGAACTGACGACACAGAAGAAACTGAATGCAGGGGCCTTTCAAAGCTTCTCCTAATACGTTACTATTAAACCATACACTTTACCCTATCATATTTCTCCAACACTCTCTACTCTCCATCAAACTGCCATAATATATACTCAGGTTTAACTGTTTCTTTGGGCCTTCATTTCCTTATGAAGATTCCCAGGATATGTAAATATTATAGTAAATAAATCTGTCTCCTTTTCTCTTGTTAATCTGTCTTGATGTATATATATATATATATATAATATTATATCTATCATATCAATATATATTATATATATAAATTATTATTATTACAGGGATCTTAGCCATGAACCTAGGATAGGTAGAGCAACAGATATTTTTTTCTCTCCTACAACCTCATTGTAGTAATTTCAGCTTCTAGAGCTAAAGATAATTAGGAACCCAATCTCATATTATGTCTTCAAATACTCAAAGACATAATATGTCTCTTTTGGCCTAAGCATTATAATTAGCTCCTTCAACTTCTAATCATTTGACATGATTTCCATATACTGAGAGTTTCCTTTCTTTTAGTTTTTGCCCCCTTTAAGTACAATACATAAAAGACCACTCAATACTCAAAATGGGACTTTTGCCAGGAGAGCTACAGCTGTTATCTTTCTTGTTTGAGGTGATACGTGTCTATACTAGGTTACAATTTGAGATATCCTCTTGAAAGGTACAATTAACCAAATAGCCTAGATCTTTTAACTTTAACTGTTATAATGCTGGATCCTCAATATCTTCCAACTGGCATAGTTGATTTGATTCTTTTCAACCTAAGCATAAGATTTTACATTTGGCCCTGTACATTTCAACATGTTGATTTGGTTCTATTATTTCAAAACTGAAATATTTATTTCATTTTGTTCCTGTTCCAATTTGTTAGCTTTCCCTAAACATTTATTCCCTGAAAAAAGAAAATATAAATGAAATGAATTCCTATTAATGTGTTTTTGTTAACCCCTTCTTGTGGCCATCTTCTTAACACTAAAAATTGAGTACTCCGTTCTAGAATTTGCCAGGAGTCAAGCAGAAGATTACCAACCTGTAACCTCCTGATGATTGCATCCTTACCATGTAGACACCAGTCTTCTGGCACTTCACCTGTTCATAACTGATATAGTTTGAATATGTGCCCCCACCCAAATCTCATGTTGAATTGCAATCCCCAGTATTGGAGGTGGGGCCTGGTGGTAGGTAATTGGATCATAGGGGAGGATTTCTCATGAAATGTTTAAGCTTCATCCCCTTGGTGCTGTCTTTGCCATAGTGAGTGACTTCTCATGATATCTGGCTGTTTAAAACTGTGTGGCACCTCGTTCTCTCTCTCTCTCTCTTGCTCCTGCTTTTGCCACATGAGAGCCTGCTCCCCTTTTGCCTTCTGCCATGATTGGAAGCTTCCTAAAGCCTACCCAGAAGCAGATGACACTATACCTCCTGCACAGCCTGCAGAACCATGAGCCGATTAAGCCTCTTTTCTTTATAAATTACCCAGTCTCAGGTGTTTCTTTGTAGCAATGCAATAATGGCCTAGTACAATAACTACTCAGAGATTATGAGTAATGATGCTTGTGATAACATCTGGAAATTATTTTGGTATCCTGGACCCCCTAATCTCAGTCTAAAGACAGGAACACATTTAAAAAAAACAGATGTTATTTAAGTATCTCTCTCTTTGGATCTCCTTGGATCCAATTTCCTCTTTACCATGTTTGTTATACCCATTTTTAATCTGAGGATCATTCTCTTGAAGAAAGAAGAAAAACCACTGTAATCTTCGCTTGCTCAGTGTCATTTTCAAATATTATATACAGCCTGCCTTTCACCTACCTTCTCTTTGTTCTAAATGTACATTAGAAAGTGCTTTAGTTATCCTTAACATTTTTGTGCATTCCTTGGCTTTCTCCCTCATGACATTATTCATCATGCTCTGTGCCATGTCTCCTTTCCCATCCTTGTTCATGGACCCCTTCTGTACATGTCATCCCATTCCCAAAGAACCTCTTCATTCAACTGGACTAAGATTACAATTTGGGGGATTTTCTCTAGGCTTAAAATCAACAAAATAACCCAGATCTCTTCACTTTCATTGTTGTAAAGATGGATTCTCAACATCCTCCCACAAGCACTTTAAGTCGTTATATCCAGGATGAAGCAATTTTCTTTTTCTCCTTCACTACTTAACCTCTTGTAACTCTTATCCTGGTTAATGCTATTTCCATCTAACTAGTTACCCCAGGCAGGAACCAGAAGGGATCTTTGACTGATTTTCCCTCCTAGGCTTTATATCCAATCACTCAGCAAATCCTTCCATTGCTCTCAAATCCATCTCTCCCCCTCCATCCTCACTGCCCCTGACTCAGTTTAGGTCAGTACCATTCTTTTTTCCTGGAGGATTGCAATCATCTCCTTGGTAAGGTGCTCAATGCCAGGTAAGTTTCTCTATAAACTCCCCTCTACATTGTCAGTATAATATAACCTTCCTAACACACATACTGCATATGATGCCTATACTGTTCAAAAACTATACATGGTTTCTTATCAAACACAATATAAAAATGAATGAACTATCAATCCTTGCTTCTGCTCAGCCTTCCAACCTCTAGGCTCCTCATACTACTGTCCTGTACCCTGTACTTTTATCTTTTCCTTGAATCCCCATCCACCGGACATCTTTGCAGAAATTTTATCATTCTTCAAAATTTCAGTAAATTCTCTGGTTTTCTTTTAAATTGTTTATGATTCACAAAGTTAAATTTGGCACTTCTTCCTTTACCAGTGGACCATGTAGATGCTTCTATTATTACTACTCATTAAACTGTATGACAGGTATTTGTTTGCATGTCCATTTCCTGGGATAGGCTATGAAATCATGGAAGGTAGGACATAGCTTGATCATATCTGAATCCACTCCTGATACACATGTGCCAGGGTGGCAGGTAGAATAATGCACATTCCCCTACCTCCAAAAATTTCCATATCCTAATCCCCACAGCAAGTGAATATGTTGCACCACATGGCACATGGGAATTGCAGATAGAATGAAGGTTGCTAATCACCTGATTTTTAAGAATAGGGAGATTATCTCAAATTATCTAGGGGAGACAATGTAATCACTATGCTCCTTAGACGTGAAAGAGAGAGGCAGAAGAGAAGGTCAGAGTCCCTCAGAGGAACTCAACAGGCTCTTGCTGTCTTGGAAGACAGAGGAAGGGGCCACAAGCCCAGGAATACAGGTGGGTCCTAGAAGGTGGAAAAAGCAAGGGCCCGAATTATCCTCTACGGCCTCTAGAAAGGACTGAAGCCCTGCCGACACCTTGAGTTTTGCCAGTGAGATCTGTGTTGAATTTCTGACCTCCAAAGTGGTGTCTGAGATAAGAAATGTGTGTTGTTTGAAGCTACTAAGTTTGTAGTAATGTGTTACAGCAGCTGTGGGAAAGAAACTACAACATAAATTTCATGAGTAAGTTGGTAAATTGGTTTCAAGTGGATTTTTCGCCTAATTCAGGTAATTTTCAGGCAAGCATCTACTGATAAAGTATGTATTTAGTATAATGGGGCAAAAGTATTTTAGGGGGCTAAAGTCCTATTAGCATATTGAATACACACACATGACTTATTTAGTTAAATAAGGAAAATCAGATATTTTTCAAGCAGGTAGATTTCACATTCACTTTATGTCCTTTTATGAATGTTGTTGCTTTTTTTTCATTCCCTTAGGATTTTTTTTTTAGAATTAAAAAGAAAATTATATTCTGTTGAGTTCACTGTAAGAAAAAATCCTTGATATTGAAGTGCATTTCTGGGAGAAATATTATTTGCATTTCCCAAGTATGCTGAGAATTCTTGGCTCCTTTTACCCAGATTTTCAGTGTGGCTGACTTCTGAACCCCATTATCCCAGTCGGGGGCACTTATTTTCAGAGGAGCGTTAGGTGGGTACCACACTTCCGAAGTTTCTAGGGAGAAAAGTATTTGTTTTCCTTGAGGCTAAAGACTCAATTTGTTACTTAGTTTTTCACTAACTTCATGAATCTAAGACCTAGGGTGGAGAACAGAAAAAGTGATTCCATTCAGTGAAATAGACAAATACACCAGAATAAGAAATAGTGTTAAAATGTTGGATGTGATCCCCAAAGCAAGCAATGCTGTCATTATCATAATAGTCTACCTCTCTCACATTGCTGTGAAGTATAAAACACAGCAAAGTACCTACCTTTAATTAGCCATATTTAGTATTTTTTATGGCCACTGAACATGGTACTCATATTACCATATATTAGCGTATAATTTGCATATATACCTTAAGGTATTTGGTTTTATTGCTGTTACCTTTTGTGGCCCTATTTCAGTAATGACTCTAATGGAATACAACGATATTTCTGACTCAATACACTTTACAAGCTTGGGAGTTTTACAATGGAAAGTTCTGTTTAAATATAAAATTCTTCCAAAAAATGTCTGTGCATTCTGAATATGGTCAATGGGCATAGGTACTTATCTGGCAAATCTCTAATAGGTGCCCAAGTAAAAGTATTTACCTTCATTCTGAGCTCAATAAAGATATATTTTATAAGTAAAGCTTGAGGTACACATTGTTTCATGTTTGCTTAAAAGAAAGTCACACACACAATTTAAGGAATCTTACCAGTCTATCAGCAGCTAAAGGTCCCAAGAAAGAAAAATAACAGCTGCAGCTAGAGAATTTGGAGAAAGGTCAGAGGTCAGTGCCTGCATCTGCATTCACTGGGAGACAGAGAGGAAAAATAAAGGGGCTCTCTTTGTGGCAAGTCAGCACTATTTTAGAAAGTGCAGATACTGACTTAATTACCAATGTTCCCTTTTGCTCTGGGGTGCTGCGGCAGGCTATAAATCAATACCTAAGGTCACATTGCTAAAAGCATGAAAAAACTCACTCTTTCTCGCACTTGGGAGCATTGTTTTCTGCTTCCTTCTCAGTGTTACTAGCGTTCGATATCAGATGGAAACAGAGGGCCGCAGTCATTACAGAGGGAATCAGAACTATGAAAGCAGATGCGCAAAGCAGGCCTTCTGAACTCCAGACAACTCTTTAACTGTGTCCAGTCTCCCGTCATTACTTGATTGTTTGTTGTTGATTAGTTTATTTGTAATCCTTACACCCTATTCTTAAGCCTAATTCAATAAATAAATGTTACCATGAATTCTGTGCTAATTTGAAACTAAAGTAAACCTTCTTTTTTTTTTTGTAATTCAAAAATAATTTCAATGTAATGTGTTTGGGACTGCTTATATATTTTTATTCATTTCTCTGTCCACATGCTATGAAATTTCCTACATCTGATTTTATAAAGGAAGGAAATGTTGCAAAAACAGTTGCTAGTCCTTTTATTGGCAACTGTCTTTGTAAACCTAGAGAGACTATAATATCTGAATAAGGTAAGATACCAAATGAGAAAATAGTCATTGCTAGGTAAAACATTCTTAAAATAGCTTACCTTGATGATCTGAAGAGTCAGAAAGGATTTCTGATGTGTATGCATCAAAGCAATCTATTTGAGATGCCACTGAGGTTTGGTTCACAGGGCACTTTGACAACATCTGCATGGGATAGCCACATCAGAATGTGGACCATTCCAATAATTGATGCTGGAATCCGATCCATCATGGATCAGATCAACCATGCATCAGGGTAATTTGGTTGTTGAGACAAATGAAATAACTACATTGATTTTGCCGGGGGAAAAATGGACCACATAATAGATGTAACATCTTTAAGTATTGAAGCTTTAGGGCTTGGTCTACACATTTAGTGTATCTATAATAGTTTACTTTTCTATGTGTATTATATGCTTTTAAATAGTTTTTGGAACTGAAAAAGGTAAAAATTATGCATATATAAAAATAATGTCAATAATTCCTGCAGAACATCCCTACTTCTCTATGTTTTTCTTCACAGTTAAAAAAAAACTGATATTTTTTCAGAGCTCTTTAACTTGGTCCAACATCCTATGTTTCTTGTACTATCTAGGCTGATACATATGAAAGGTACTTTCTTCCAAAGATCTCCAATGTAAAGATTTTACAATATGTATAAATGTCACTTGATAATTATTTTACTGAATCATATATTGTCAAGCAGTAATATCCCTTAACAGTCATCTGGTTTTGTGAAAAAAAGACAGAGGACATCACATTTTGCTGCAAAGGCTCAGCAGAAGAGAGTACTACAATTTAGTAACTAATTTGTTTGGAGGGAAAATTTCTAATAATTAAGAGGCACTACTTCCTTAGGGTGGCAAGTGTTTATTTATCTAATTATCACTGCAAAGTGTTCCACTGATAATATAAAATCTGCTACCTTTCCCAGAGTCGACAAAAGGAGATTTAACTTAAAATGAAATAATAACATATAGTAGCAACCAATATTTTCCCAGACTTCATCAGGAAAATGTGAAGTTGAAAGAAGAAATTCATTTGCTATTCTCCAATGAAAATGGGAAATAGACAGAAAATGCTGTTCGTTCTGTTGCCACAATGAGTTCTCCAGAATGAACACACATATTATTATAACTGCCCTGATTATAAAACACAAGTCATAATTGAAGGTAGTGTCTACCCTAAATACTGAGGGCAATCTGCCCTGGCATCTAGCTCCCCATTCTGCCTTTAGGGAACCATTGAGCATATGCACATTCCATCAGCCAGAGTCTGCCAGCATCTAATGCCTCTCTAGGGCTTCACCATTACCCGAATTTGAATGCTGAGAAGATGCTCATAATTGCTTATTATGACATTAGACAAGAGAATTCAAGTCCCATTTGATTGTAATGAGTTTGTGGAGTCTCTGCTTTCTGTGGTCCAATCACATACAGAAGTGAATGTGAGGCAAGTTTGATGAAACAGAATTATGCTTGAAGAGGTGAGCATGAGGCTCGGACCTTTTTCACTTAAATTTTTTTTTCTTATAACTTTCAGCATTCTGTTGATGGAAATAAAAGTAATATCAATTATAAAATCTTTCAGCAGGAAAACTCAAAATTCTTTCCAAACTAAATTATTTTCCCAGGTTACCACTGAAATAATTCAGACTTACTGTCTCCACATTGCAGATAAGCACATTAAATGGTAAAGAAATAAAATTTTTTATTTAAAAAGATGTACACGGTGAGTGGCAGAATCAGTTAGTATTGCATGCAGCATAAAACTTAATAAAAAGGAAAAAATGTGTACATCTTACACAGATACGTGCATTGAAGCTACCTACATAGAATTAGGTGAAACATCTCTGTGATTATTTGAGTATGAGAAGTGTTTAAGAAATTACCTCTATCTTATTTTTACAAGCTAGAAAGTCAAAGAAAGCCTGTTAAGATAACATGTGGCACGGCTATGAGGAAAGGGGCAAAAAGAGGGAATGGATTGCTTGTGATTTCTAAGTGGAAAAGCTAGGAACCATTTGAGGTGCTTGGGATTTCATCATTCTGTGCTTTGATAAAGCATCCCAATTCCCATTTACTCACAGTAGTAACCAGATGGCTGAAGGAGGGAAACAAAGATGAATTGGATTCTAATGGAAAGCACACTGAGACCCCAGGGCTTTCCATTCAAAGCTAAAGCTGAAACTGGCCAAAATGTGAAAGCACAATGGGTAGGTGTTACAGCGAAACAGCCTTCAACGCACAGGTGCATTCGCTATCTTACAGTATGCAGGCATATATAATATTAATTGCTTGCCCAATCAAGTATTTTTTTCTTATAAAATAAAGAATATGCTGCTGTGGCCATTCTAAAGACAGCACTAAATTGCTTTCATCTCAAGCTGGCTCTGTGTTATTAAATAAATATCTGATTGCCAGAAAAGAAAAGCTGTGAGTTGTGATTCTCTTTTTGAAGGAAACCTCACAAGCCATTTTAAAAAATTAGTAGACACTATCGGTTTCTCTATCCTACAAACTTTACTAGGTGACTTCACTCATAAATGGAGCATTTAGATGTAAAAGTAAAGTAACTGGACTAGAAATGGAATAAAGTCCTAGTGTTTTTGTTTTGTTTTGCTGTTAAATTGGTCACCAGTTAACTGGGTCGCTTTAGGCAAACAGTTCAATCTCTTAATTTGGCTTGATTCAAACATCTATGAAGCACCCTGCTTTCAAGTTCAACAAAATGTTTACTGATATGCTATATGCTCCCTGTAGCTAAACTACTTTGGGATGCTAGGTTGAATACGTCGCGGTTACTTATCCAGTATCTCTTTATTTCTTAAAAGAAAATAACGATGGTTAAAACTAATCAGCATCAAGTCAATAGTGTACTGAACACCAACTCTTTGCCAGGCTAGAATTTTAGCATCAAAGATGAATAAATGGACCTGCCATATAAGAATTCAAAATATGATAAGGGAACAATTCATACCCTGCAACCCCCAAGAAATTACATAGTACCTGCAATACCGATTTCATAGGGCTGCTTTGCAGGCAAAGGGCCTGGACTACAATCTGGTCTCTCCACTAAGCAGTCATGTAACTTTACAAGTCAACAAACAACTCTTAATCTCAGTTTTCTCACCAGTGCAATAGGAATAATAGCAGTAGCTGGCTCTTATGGTCACTACGAGGCTTAAATGCCATAATTAATATAAAATCATTATTGTTACACCAGATGGTAAGCTTTAAATATTAACTGCTAGTTATTGTTACAGTCAAATAAGTAAGTGTAAAATGTTAGAATAATCTAAAGAGGAATATATAAAGTGTCCTTTAATAATAATATAAAAGGATATACATATTCTGTTGTAAATAAGATAATAAAAATTGCTACGGGTTATATTATGTCCCTCCCTAGTTTTTGTGTTACCTCCAAATTTATATGTTGAAGTCCTAACCCTCAGAACCTCAGAATGTGACTGCATGTGGACAGATAGACTTTAAAGAGGTGAGTCAGGCTAAGTGAGGTTGTTAGAGTTGGTGCTAATCCTATCCGATTGATGTCCTTATAAGAAGAGGAAATTTGGACACATGAACAGCCACCAGGGATGTGCACACACCATGTGAGGACACAGAGAGATGGCAGCTATCCGCAAGCCAAAAAGAGAGGCCTCAGGAGAAACCAAACCTGCCAACACCTTGATCTTGGACACTCAACCTCCAGAACTGTGAGAAATTAAATCTCTATTGTTTAAAAGCTCTCCAGTCTGTGACATTTTATGGCAGCCCTAGAAAATCAATACAAAAATAAAAGTATATTATATAATATAAATAAATGCTCATATAATAATAATTTCAAAAGATATACACAGATCTTAAATATGTTAGCTTCTGAAAACATACACTTTTTAAACTTATTTTTTAATATAAATAAATGTACAGAATAAAGAAATATTCACATAACTAAAGAGTATAAAATAAAATGTAGGTCCCTCTTAAGTTCTATTTGAAATGGATAAACAGTATTATCAATATATTTCTGGGCAAAATATATAAAGCAGGAATATGTTTTGTTTGATACATGGATGGCCAATGATTCACATACCTTCGAGCACAACATTTAATCAAGGGCTCTCATTCATTATTATTACCACCTAAGTAAAATATCCACATAGTTCCAGAAATCTAAGCCAGTGAACAGAAGTTATCCACTGTTTTTTCAGATGGAACATGTGATACAGCATCCAACACAGAGCCTCTTGCACAGTATGAGCTCAACAAATATCTGTCTGTTAATTTAATATGCTTGATTAATTATGCCTTGGATAATAAGTTTTATAAACCAGATACATATGGTTTCACTGAATGTAATGAATTTTAATTTTTGGCCAGGTCTATATGTGTGCAGCTAGAAAGTGAAATAATATTTATGCTAGTTCCAAGCCTTTTGCTAAATACTTCTTAATGTTATCTGATTTAGTTCATTTGACACACATTCATTCCTACAGTCAGTGCCAAATAAAAATTTGCATTTAATTTTCTACAAGAGTCAGAGAATCTAAAAATAAGGATTGACTTTACCTGACAGATAAAATCTTTGGGCCAAAGGGTTCATCTCAATCCAATTACAGTTTTCCTTAATATTCTGAAGATTCTCTGCAGCTTCCTAACATACAGCAGAAAAGGCAAAGAATTACAGAGATTTTGTTTAAAATCATGGTGCCTGCCTGTAGTGATTGTATTATGCTGGGCAACCCATTTATGCTCAGCATCCTTTCTGCATGTGTACATGGGAATGATACTGTCTCAGATTCCAAATAATATAGGAGTATTTGTTTCAGTTCTTTGTATTGACCAATTGATTCTTTTGCTCATCTTGCCTGTGCTCTTTCTGGAGGCTATGTTCAACTGGGGGGGGGGGGTCCCCTGGGGGCTGGGCCCACCTGGGCATAGCTGGGCTCACCTGGACCTTATTCTGGGTGTGTGACAGTTGAGTGGGCCTTTTGGCCCAGTGACTTGCTTCTCTTCCTCGTGGCTTCCCAGCTCCAAAACTGTTTTATGAGAGTACAGGCTTTATTTAAAAATATCTTATTTAATATTGTGATATTCCCTTATTAGAATTTATTTATTTGCATTTTAATTATAATAGATAACTTTAATGTTTTTGGAGAAAAGTCTTCTTTGAAAAGACATATGAAAAATAATTTTCATTTTTTACATTTACTTTAGCATAAATAATGAAAATATATTCAAAATTAATTTTGTACATTTTTAGTATTTATAATTTATATCATTGTTGTCACTTGAACAAATTATTAATATGTGAACATTTTGATTAGAATACCTACCACAATTAGTGATTTTCCTAAGATTAATATTACAGAATTAATATCTAACAAGCTATACATTTTGTGTTTTCATTTTCTTAGCCTAAAATCATTGAACTATATCAGAATACTCAGACATGCATGAAGCAAACACACTTCAGCTGTTTTTATTATTCCTCTGACTTCATATAAAAACCTTAGCTTAAATGTATGTTTAGATTTTGTCAACAGGAAGGCATCTTCTTACAAAATGATTTATTCTATTTAGAGTTTGTTAAATTGTTGTATAACTTTTCTATTTTTATCCATATCTATGTGGATTTACATTTGTTCTCTTGGCCTAAACCATTGCAAATATTAGGGGTGGATCCGGTTATTGAAATATCTAAAGCAAAGGAATAGCATCTCAATACTATGTTTGAGAAAGATTATTTTAGTGTATTCAATAAAACCACTTAGAAGGCTGGTCTCCTTCTATGTAAGTGGTGTTTCACCCTGTAGCCTAAACTTCTGAGTTAACAGTCACATTTTCCCATATTGTATCCTTGGAGCCCTCCCACTATAGGTTTTCCAAACAGAAAGTTCCCAGCCATGGGCCTGTCCCTTTTCAGAACAGATATTTTTGACAACTCAGCCACAGGTATGGAAGGATAAGGGCAGAAGCCACATGGGGTCTTCAGGCTTAAGCTCTAGAACTTATGCAATTTCACTTTCCATACAGTCTATCTGTGGAAGCCAGTCACAGGTACTTCATATTCAAAGGGTAGATTAATAGGTTCCCTCCTGGATGGGTAAGGGAACAAAGTCTAATACACAGGGACACGAGAAGAACGAGAGGCTGTTAGCAAACTACCACAAAGATCTATGTCAGAATATTGTGTCCCTATCATGGTCTAGCCATCAGCATGCTAGGGACGCAGCCTCCCCTAACTGCATGCCCCAGCATATGTAATCTGAGAGGAATCATCAATTGAAAGGAAAATAGACATGCTAGGAGTAGACTCCAACTCTAAAATAATCACCGAGTACCCATACATTCCTTGGCCATAGTTTTAATTTAAAATAGCTTGAATTACAAACAGCCAATACTTGAAAATTCACTGAAAGTAATGTTTTCTGAATTTCCCCCCCCGATTTCACTAAATATACATGCGATTGCCAGGTCTCCATGTTAGCGTATTATTTTATAGCATACCACTATCGGAATAATATGCCTGGGATGAGGTGATTCTCCTGTTTGACGTAAGTAATAAAAGTTTGGATCTACAGGACTGTTCATAGCAAAAACCTCATAAATGATTATAGCAACTACTAAGTTCAGTTTATTATCTCTGTCCACCAACAGAGGCCTGTGTAGCCCATTTGAAGCACCTGTTACTCAGAGAGTGGACTGCACTGTATCTCATGTTGATACAACCCTTTTTTAGGGAGGAAGCATATCTTTCTGGAGAGTCGTTATCTCTCCATCAGATGAGATGGAAATTTAAAATGTGAATTCATCCTCTTTTAGGATTTAGAAAAAAATATTGCCTAAGACATACTTACATACTCAAACATTTTGTTGTTCATTTGAAATTAAATTTAACTGGCTCTTGGGTTTTTATTTGGAATCCTACCCTCTACGAATTTGAAGACAGAGAATTTATTCGTCTATTTTTTTAATATGTATTGTAGCCTTATGCATAATTGCTGAAACCTGGGAATATCCAAATATCCATCAGCTGGTGAATGGATAAACAAATTGTAGTAAATCCTCATAATGGAATACTATTCAGCAATAGAAATAAATTGACTACTAATACATGCCTATTTATAAATCTTTTCTTTGTTATTATTTTTAAATTTATACATAATTGTTGTAGACATTAATGGGGTACATGTGATATTTCCTACATGCATACAATGTGTAATAATCAAATCGGGGTAATTAGGATATCCCTCACCTCAAATATTTGTTATATCTTTGTGTTGGGAAAATTTCAAATCTTCTCTTCTACCTTCTACTTTGAAGCCAGGGGATTTAAAAACAAACATTATTACTTCCCTTTTATTATTAATAGTACCCTTGATATAAATCTCTGAAACTTTATTTCCTTTCCATTTGCAACCAGTATCTTAGTTCATCCCTTATCATTTTTCACACAGGTAAACTGACCACCTACTAACTTCTTCATTTTTCCCCCAGTCTCTTTCTCCTCTAGTGCCCTGTGCAGAAAGCCATAGGAAGGACCTTTCCAAAACTGCTTCTTCCCAGGCTCAGGTTGCTTGAGAATCCAACCCAAAGCTGTGGTAAACCCCACTCAAGGCTAACCATCTACATGAGACCCACAGTGAACAGGCATCTTAAGGGAAGTTAAAAAAAAAAAAACTTTGAAGAAAGAGTTTTAGTTTTTAAAACTAAACACTTTCGAGGCTATTTTCCCATTTAAAAACTCAAAACTCCTCATTACCCATAAGAAAAATTTCAAACTTCTTAGTATGTCCTTCTAACTCCTGTCCCCAGCCTATCTCTGCCCTTTCTCCATTCTCATTTCTGTGAACTACCCTTCTCCAGCATTTCCCAAAATAGTGGGTCTAGGAGATATTTAAAAGTCTTGGATGAACAAATTCTATGACAACATAGAGGTTTCGAAAATACTGAGTTAAAAAGTTAGACTTCTCAACCGGGAAAAATTTAAGTAACTATAAAAATATGAACATCTTCAATGCTGCCATTGCCACTATGGGCATTTTTAATGCCTTTCATTCTTCCACTCTAATGTACAAAGCAAATACTGTACTTATTCATGTTTCAAGACAGGAGCTCAACTGGGTTTGTATAGCCACATTCATAATCTTTCCTCAGCCCTCCAGACAGAGTTCTTCCATTCCTCATTGTTTCCTAGTTAGGGTGAGCAACTTGGCCCAGTGCTCCCAGGGCTTTCCTGGTTTTAGCACTGAAAGTTGCACATCTAAGGTGCTCCCCACAAATGCACTCCCAGCCCCAGACAAATCAGGATGGTTGGCTTCCAATCATCTACTTGATTAACTCTGACGCTTCAAAGACAGTGCCTGTATTTCCATTATCATTATTTTTATTTATTTATTTATATCCCCAATGTTAGTCCAGTGTCAGATAGTTTTAAAATACGTAATAAATGTTTCTTTTGTTGTTGTTGTTCTCTAGGCCTTTTATTATTATTATTATTTTCACTTTTGGAAATTTTTTTAAATTATACTTTAAGTTCTGGGATACATGTGCAGAACATGCAGGTTTGTTACCTAGGCATACACGTGTCATGGTGGTTTGCTGCACCCATCAACCCGTCATCTACATTAGGTATTTATCCTAAGGCTACCCCTCCCCTAGCCCCCTACCCTCCGACAGGCCATGGTGTGTGATGTTCCCCTCTCTGTGTCCACAGGTTCTCATTGTTCAACTACCACTTATGAGTGAGAACATGCGGTGTTTGGTTTTCTGTTCTTGTGTTAGTTTGCTGAGAATGATGGTTTCCAGCTTCATCCATGTCCCTGCAAAGGACATGAACTCATCCTTTTTTATGGCTGCATAGTATTCCATGGTGTATCTGTGCCATATTTTCTTTATCTAATCTATCACTGATGGGCTTTGGGGTTGGTTCCAAGTCTTTGCTATTGTGAACAGTGCTGCAATAAACATATGTGTGCATGTAATAAATGTTTCTTGAATGACGATGAAATAGAGCATAAGAGAGGTTTACTGAAAGGAAGAGTGAAGGGAGAGGAGAGGATAAGGGCCACCCAAGGGGAGAAATACACTGTAGAACATTGGAAGAGCAGTGTAATGTTAGTCATGGCTCAGAGGAGTGACCTCAACCCTGCTACACATCATAGTCCTCTGCAAAGCCATTTAGAAATACTAATGCTTGGACTCTACCAATCGGACAAAATCTCTAGACATATGGCCCTGCTAAAGCATTTTTTAAAAGCTCTCCCAGGTATTTCTAAAGTGCAACCAGAGTATAGAACCACTAGCTTGAGGCCTCCCAAAGGCAGGCAAAAAACTTGCAGTGGAAGGAATCTGAAACAAAAATCAAACAAAACATAAAATTAAAAGATATTCCGAGGAGGTGTGAGTCTAATGCACTTCTCTAATAACCTCACTTTGGAGGGTCTCCTATTGCTATGGTTGTTCCTGTTGCTGCTTCTTACGCATAATTATCTTCTCAATTACATGAGTTCCTGGCTAATTTCTAGAGTGAAGAAACTGAAAGTCAGAGGAATACTGTGGTTGAGTGTCCCTACGATCTAGGTAGGTATGATGAATCTGTCTTAAAACTCATTGTTTGGAAAAATAAGTAGCATCCAAATGCCGGGTAAAGAAAATTGTTAATGTTAGCAATTTTGTTAACATATCCAGGAAGCAGACTTACTACTGGCAGGCTAAATAAATGTGTACCACACATGACCTTCAAAACCATTGATCATAAAAGTTATAAACAGTACCCAACTGACCCATTGGTCTATGTCCTCGGATTAAGAGATCTTTCGATGTCTAGTCCACTTTGTAGTACATTGCTGCCAATGAGGAAGCCTACTTTAAAAATATAAATATTGAACCAGGTTATATGTGATCATTAATCACAGACTCTCCCCAGGACAACCATCGTAAATACTGCATCTGCATAAAATTCCCTGCTGAAATTGCCTTGCCATCTTTTCTGCCTTCTATGAAAAAGCAGATGCATTTGGAGGAAAAAGGAATCAAAAGAGCAGGGAAATAAAACAAAGAATAGGAAACATGCTGCCCTTTAATATTTCTCTTAAATTACTAAAAGAAATTAAATGTTTGAAAATCATTTTTAAAGTTATTTTCAGCTATATTTAAAGTTATTTTAAAAGAATTTTAAATGTGCTGGCATTGTCTCATAGCACTGTTTGATGGCAATACTAAGCAAGATACTCTAACTGAATTGTTTATATTTTGGTATTTTTCTGTTACCAACTATGTCTTCATAGGGCAATTACATTTTTTTGTGGGGCCAGAAGCTTATACAAAATGACAAATCCAAAATTATAATAAGTACAAGTTCTTGGAAGGGTCTCTGAAGCTTAAGCTTCCTCAGATATATGAAAATCTGCCCTGGTCCACCAGCAACATATTTGGAGATGTAAATGATATTTCTTTCCCTCTGTTTATTGTTTCTAAAAGGATATCAAATTATATAGCCTTGTATAGAATGCAGAATTGTGAAAATAAAAATTGGAAGATCTTTTTCATGGTCCCTTGTTTTCCCTTCTGGAGTTCATTGCTTTCAGCAGCTAGTAGGCAAAATGTACCCATTTTTAAATGGTGCTTTCAAAGAGTTATTTAAATTTATTTTCTTTCTAAGTTCTCAGGTACATGTATTTTCAAGTGCTCAGATAAGTACATGTATACTGTCAACTCTTGTTTACCAAAGGCTATTGTTTCAACTTGTGGGGTCTCCAAGTCCTTCTCATATTGATCTTTTTCTGTAAGTGTGCACTTGATTTGGGGAGCTTAGATGTATTAATACCACTGACCAATGACTAAATGGGCAACTCTGGAGTCAGACCTGGTTTGACTTCCTGTTCAGCCATGAAATGCATGTATGGCATTGGGCCAACTACTCAACTATTTTGATGTTCCCCATATTCGAAATCAGGATACTAATGATAAGCAGCTAAGGAGATTGTTGCAAGGATAAAATGAAATGGTGCATGCAAACAACCCAGCAATGTTCTTGGGTATCATATATGCAAAAAACATGAAAAACCATCACATCACTTCATGGTCATCATAATCATTACTAGCTTCATTTTCAGTGTCACCAAGTGGCTAAAGGAATGGAGGTTATAAAAATTAATTTTTTTTATTACTTATTAGTAGCTTGGTAGTAGGAGAACTTGAAATTACTGACTATAGTGAAATTTAGGGCATCCTGTGGAAAATGAAATTCCAAGTAACTGCCAAGTATACCAATATTTAAGCTATCCCAGAGGTCACAGAACAGACAGGCTCACAGAGCAAATTATCACACTGGTTATTAAATTAATTTAAAAAATACAGTAAGAGTAAGGAGAATAAATAGGGTGTTAATAATCTAGGGGTAACATCCTAGTGGGGTGGGAGGACAACATTACCTGAATCCTGGGGTACACAATGTTCACATGTCCCATCTCTGTACCATATCAGAATTCCCTGTGGGTGATGGAGTTGTAAAGGTCAGAGCAGAAATTTGAGCCAGGGGTCTCAGCAGATGGAAGACACCTGGAGTCAACACACAGTTGCACGCTCTGAAGCACACAGGATAAGTCTATCTGGCCAATACCTGTAGCTTGCCAGTTAGCCTGATGAGCAGCTACAGTTTTATCTGTATTTCCAGACACAGGATATATGGGCCAGAATGGGTGTCACCCATGAATGGCTCAGGTAAAGCCTCAGGAATATTCATTGCCCACTTGGCCCTTCCATTCCATCCTACCCATCTTCTGAACACATAGGATCTGTTCACTTTATGCCCAGCCTATCTCCCAAGTTACTTTCACCTTTATCCAGTTTTATCTATCCTTCTTTTCTTATTTGCTACAGCAGAATTGAATATTATTAAATCATAGGATTATTTGATTTATACTTATCACGGTAGAGTGGAGTTGTTACAGCTCTGCTTTCAAACCAGCACACCTGGATTCAAATTCCAGTGCCGTAACTTCCAAGCTATGTAAGCGTAGGTATATTACTCAATCTTTCCATGCTTCCGTTTCCTTCTCTGAAAAATGCAGATGATGATGATACTGATATTACCTACCTGGTAGGGTTGTTGTGCTGATTAAATGAGTTATTCAACTGAAGTGTTCAGAACAGTACCTGGCACTTACTGAGGACTTGTTAAGCCACAGCTTTTCTGATTTCTAGCCTTTTGGATAGTGAGCTCTTGGCTGGAAGCAGAGGCATCCTGGGAGGAGATGTCAATGTGTTTACAGATAGAAAAATAGGTCTTTGTGTTTACAGAGAGCTTACAACTTACAAAGAATTGTAAAGTAAGCAATTATTTAAAAATTTCAACATAACCCTCTAAAGTAGGTACATGACAACTATTTTACAGATCATGAACCTGAACCTGAAGCTCAGGGAGTGAAATGACTTACCCAGAGGCATACACTTATTGTCAATACATGACTTGAATCCAGGCTATTCATCTTTGCTTTGTGCTTCTCTGTGTCAATATAGCTGCTGCACCCAAGGGGCTGGGAATAATCTTCCCTGCCTGAAAAATAAAGGGCTTCTCTTCCGACGTCCTCTTTATACTACACACTTAAACTAATGTTGTGAAACTCTTCATACAATCAAAGGGAAGACTTAAAAATTGCTTCTCCCCAACTCTTAACAGTGATTAATTGACACTATTTCATAAATGCCTTGGAACTGATTATTTCAGATCATTTCCTGGAGTAAAGTGTTTATAGTTGAGAAAGTTTGTAAGATTGGAAGGGTGGAGAACCTCCAAGGATTGATTCCAGCAAGAGTAGGCAGATTTTATCATTTGGCCTAAGATTGATGCAAATGATAATATTTACAAGTACAGATTTACCTTATTTCTAGGTGTAACCTATAGCGCTGAATGTTGCTATCTTTAATACGTCATTGTAGTTCAATCTCTTTCATTCAAAATAGAGCTTAACAACGTGAGTAAAATATAGGCACAAAGGAGAAGGTATTTCATTAATCCATTTGCACAAATCTAAGTGTGGGCCTTGGTGAAATCTCAAGAGTTCACCTTCTTCCGCCACTTGCCCTCTATGGAGGAATTGCATTGAGTCAATTGTCAGCAACTGCTATTAATGGGAAGAATACATTAATGTAAAGATGTTCTGAGCAGGTCAAAGAAAACCAAGTGGAAAGAAAGGAAATGATTCTCAACAGAACAGAATATGCTTACCACACACACACATACGTACACACAGAGTGCTGAGCAAAATTAAGCCAGCTGTCAAACCATAGTTCCACACTGTCACATTTGTGACCAACTTGGAAAATGACCCCATATTAGAAGAATCCTCTTTTCTGTAATGGTAGAGTGCATTTTTCAACCATCCTGGTGGATTCAAGAATTACCCACTTTTCAAATTCTAAGTAGTCAAGCATACCCTGGCAGACAGAGCCCCACACCAACCAGGTTTTATGACCATGCCCCAATCATAAAAAAAAAAAAATCCACTCTGTATGAGGAGATAAGATGGAATTTTTTCTCAAGAATTTCAAAAGGCTGGGCACGGTTGGCTTACACCTGTAATCCTAACACTTCCGGAGGCCGAGGCAGGAGGATCACCTGAGGTCAGGAGGTCGAGACCAGCCTGGCCAGCATGGAGAAACCCTGTGTGTACTAAAAATACAAAAATTAGCCAGCCTGGTGGGGGGTGCCTGTAGTCTCAGCTACTTGGGAGGCTGAGGCAGGAGAATTGCTTGAACCTGGGAGGTGGAGGTTGTAGTGAGCCAAGATCATACCACTGCACTCCAGCCTGGACAAGAGAGCAAGACTCCATCTAAAAAAAAAATTCAAGGCCTTTACAATTAAATCAGGTAGTTAAATAGAAAAAAAAATAAGCATTTTGTAGTTTGTTGAAAACTATACTACAATTTTTAAAATCACAAAGATAACTCTTGAGGTCTTGTGAGGAATGATTCATTGCCCCCAGAGTTTCTTCTCATATGGGAAGGATGGTTCGGGGTGAGGCCAGGACTGACTGAGGGAGAAAGATGCCCAACCCTTGGTCTCATGGTGGGATAAGAATTTAAGAACCTGCTCATTGGCTCTCTCAGTTACTAGGAACTAGCTTCCCTTCAGATATTTTTGTGTGTGCCTTCCTATTCCTGAGCAGACTTTAGGCCTTATCTGCTCTTCTGTTAACTCAGGTAAAGTGCTCACCTAAAATAATCGTATTTTTTTTTGTGCTGTATTTTACAGTGCTATATGGGTGTGTCAGTCAGCATTCAACCAGAGAAGCAAAGAAGACATATAGAGTGAGAGATTTGTTGCAAAATACTGGCTTATGTGATGGTGGCAAGTTCAAAAATCCACAGGGCAGGCCATCAGGGAAGGCAGGCTGGAACTCAGCCATGAGCAGAAGTTGCTATCCACAGGTAGAATTTCTTCTGTTTCAGATAATCTTCAGTTCTGCTTTTAAAGCCTTTCAACTGATCAAATCAAACTCACCAGGTTATCTAGGACTATCTCCCTTACTTAAAAATCAACTTATTATGGACTTTAATCACATCTACAAAGGCCCTTCACAGCAACACCTAGATTAGTGTTTGATTGAACAACTAGAGATTGCAGCTTAGTCAAGTTGACATATCAAAAAGACCAATACATTGTGTATGTGCCAGGTGCTATTCTAAGGACTTCATGTATTTAAGCCTCTCAACAACCCTATGAGGAAACTGAGGCACAAGATAGTGAAGTAAATTGCTCAAGATTGTGTAACAAATAAATATTGAATGAACATCCCAGCCCAGTGGGTCTGGTTCCAGAGATTATGTTTCAACCATGATTTTACTGATTTTCTTTGGATTCAAGCTTCTCAAGTGCATTTCAAAATACTTTCTAGAATGTTCGTGTTGTTTTTGTCAGTGTAAAATTGCTTTTTTAAATCAAAATTTCTCTTACTCCAGTAGACATTCTGACTGCTTTGTTTGCAGTGTTGTTTTTATTTAAGGTCATGATGTTTCTGAGAGATAGGATTGTAATTACTCTCATAACTAATGACAAATATATAGATATGTACATAATTTCTGTATTTGGTATTAACTTACTTTGTTTAATCTTCATCGAAAACAATTGCATTTATAGTCTGTTTTATATATCTATTTTATAATGAATTCTATTTATTAATTTGAGGATCTGCCTTAGCTGAGAGACCTAGTGGCAGATTTAGAAATGTTATCTCATGTATTCCAAAAGGAAATGTTCTACGACCCAGCTAAAGTCTCTGTTTGCTGTTTGGGAATAGAAGTGGGCAATGGAAACAAGAACAGTAAGAACAGTTTGGAAGGCAAAAAAGAAAAAAAAAAGGCAACCAGGGCCCAAGTTCACAAAATAGTCTGGAAATTATGTGAGAACTTAATTATTTTATATACAATATTTTGATGAATAATCACCAAGGAGAAGAAAAAGCTATCATTTGTGTCAGGACTTTGTGGTGGTTTAACGAACATGTTGACGACCACACTTGGCATGTTTCTACAAGCTGTCAAGGTTGGGAGGAGATGAGTACTCGCCCATCCTGCTGACCTTCACAAGCCCATAAGGAAAAGACCTGAACAGGCAAGTGTGAGCACTCTTGAATATGTTTGCCAACCAGAGGGAACTGCTCTTACGAGCCTGCCAAGGTGACTTCTGCTAAAAATGCCAGCAATATCCCAGCTGTCCTGACCTAGGGGTGCAGCCACAACGAAGGAGGCTTGAGAGATGTCACCTCCCCCTACCCCACCCCAACCTGTCACTTTGAAGACGTGTCGCCTTCCCCCTCCTTCATTGAAATCTCACAGGGAAACATTTTATTCTCCAGATTACTGCTTTAGGAGATAGAAGGATAAAATAAAACTGCCATGGGGAAGGTACAGGTTTATTACTTATAAAATTTCTTCCAGCAAATTGCCTCTTTCTTTCCTGCTTGCCTCCTTTTTCTTTCTTTTAAAATTGTTAAATATTTTCAATACATAAAAACAAAGTAACAGATATCTATGTACCTACCACTGAGATTAAGCAGATGTTAACATGGTTTGAATTATTTGCTTTAGATCTTTCTTAAAAGACATAAAACATTATAGAATTAGCTACAGCCTTACTCCCTATTTTTCTAATCTCTTGTTCCCTAGACAAACTACTATTTTGAAGTTGCTGTGTATCATTCCTATCCATTTTTCTGTGCTCAGACTCTTATCTTTTATTCAGTCAATCTATCATCTATTTATCTAGCCACATGATTCTAAGTGTTGATCATTATATGCGTTTGGCATCTTATTGTATATCTCTTTTGGCAATTGACTTTTCTTATTCAATTTTGTGTTCTTGAAATTTTTACATGATAACACTCGTAGATCTAGTTCATTCATTTCCTTTTTAAAATCTGTTTTGGTTTTTGTTTGCTATCACACACAACACTGCAATAAGCATTATTGTATGACTTTCTATGAACATGTGTTACAGTTTGAACAGAAAGAACACCCACCAGTAGGATAGTACAGTTATGTGGTGTGTGTATTGTGAACTTACATGATGTAACCAGATTGATTTCCAAAAGAATGGTGCTGATTTCATCTATCTCTTTCAATGTAGGCTGGACTACCACCTATCACATGACTGCAAGGTGATACCTTTCCATGGTACAGTACCACAGTTTGTTTAACCATTCACCCACGGCAGGACAATTGTGTTGTTTCCAGTTTGGAGTTATTTTGAATAAAGCCACTTCAAACATTTGCATAAAGGTTTTTTGTGGAACATAAGTTTTCATTTATCTGGGAGAAACGCCCAGGCATGCAACTGCTTGGTCACATGGTAGTTACATATGTAGTTTTGTAAGAAACTTTCATATTCTTTTTAGAGTGACTATACCATTTGACATTTCTATTAGCCATGCATGAGAGATTCTCTGCATCCTCACCAGCATTTACTATTTTCACTATTTTTCTTAATTTTCGTCATGTTGATATCTCATGGTTATATTTCATTGTGGTTTTAGATTGCATTTTTCTAATGGCTAATGATGTTGAATATCTTCTCATGTGCTTGGTTGCAGATTATACATCCTCTCAGGTGAAATAATCTATTCATGCCTTTTAAATGTTTTCTAATTACATTTTTTGTTCATTACTATTTAGATTTGAGAGTTCTTTATATATTCTAGATATGCAGTCATTTGTAGTATATGTGGTTTCCAAATATTTCCACCCATTCTTTTACTACATCCTCTTCAAAAGGTCTTTCACTATCCAAAAGTTATTTAGTTTTTTTTTTTAATTCGATGATCTCTAATTTAATGAAATTTTCTCTTATGAATCACACTTTCGGTGTCAAGTCTGAAAACTGATTGCTTAGCTCTAGGTCTCAAAGATTTTCTTCTGTTTTTCTCTAAAAGTTTTACACACTTTGAGAAGCCAAGGTGGGAAGATCGCTTGAGCTCAGAATTTCCAGACCAGCCTGGGCAACATAGCAAAATTCCACCTCTACAAAAAAACACAAAAAAAAAAAAAATAGTTGGGCATGGTGGCAGGCACCTGTAGTCCCAGCTACTCAGGAGGCCGAGCCAAGAGGACTGCTTGAGCCCGGGAGGTGGAGGTCACAGTAAGCCGAGATCGCGCCACTGCACTGCAACCTGGGGGACAGAGCCAGACCCTGTCTTAAAAACAAATTACAGTTTTACGTTTTTAATTTAAGCCTATGATCCATTTTGAATTAATTTTTTATAAGGTATGAGTTTAATTTGAGGTATTTTTTTTTCTTTCTTCTGAACTCCACCTGCTTTAGCACTATTGGTTGAAAAAGTAGTCTTTCCTCCATTGAATTTCTTATGAACCTGTGTGAAAAATATCAGGTGTATTTCTTGTGGGTCTATTTCTGGGTTCTCTTATGTTAGCATCCAACACCAAGAGCTCTCTCTTTCTCTCTGTCTCTCTCACCATACTTGTGAATTGAATAAATTACTGCCACAGGCTTTACACTGTCACTTTATTTACATGTCTATGCTGTTATTAGAGAGACTGGGCTTCCTAATTACCCCAAATACTGTTGGCAGGTCCCTATGTATTATGGAGTACCCAAAGTAAATCTCATATCGTAGCATCCTATATTGCTTGTGTGGCATCCATTTTATCAGCTCAGATGATTAAGTTCAAGATGAGAAATGGTGTGTTGCTGGAGATTCACTCACAAACTTTAGTCCTTCCATTTCCACTGACACCAAATGCAACACACTCTCCTGGAATATCATCAGGTTTCCTTTCCCAGTGGAATGTCTCAGCAACACAGCTATAGTCATGCTTTTCAAAGCCAACCATTGAATTCAGGTTCTATGCTCCTGCCAACTAAATGCCTCCTTGATTTTCCTTTATTGTTTCCAAATACATTGTGTAGATAAATGAGTGGTGGACAGGATTTAAAAGTTTGTATAAGGATTTAATGAAGATAAAAACCCAAATGTTTGGGTATTCATACATTGCTTATCCACTGTCTTTGGAAGCCAGTGGGAAAACATCCAAAAGGAGTCTTCTATTCTTTCCAACATTTGCTGCTCTAAGTTGGGTGGAAATAGCATTTGGTCCTGTTTGAATACTTATATGTTTTCAATTTTGGTCATAGCCAGAAACTGCCTCACTAAGCAATTCTGGGAAACACATAGGTACATCAAATTATACTTGGATTTCCAAGAAGTTGGTGTGATGGGTTATAAATATGAGTATGCTCCATTTTGTTCAAAAGGGTCTGTATGACCAAAGTGATGAGAGTGGGAATTAAAGCAGTGGCTCAAAAGTTGTGAGGCTTAGCTTTGCAAAGATTTGCTTTGTAAATCTGTGTGGATACTTTGGTTCCCTGGTTCTTTCATTGGCAAAATTTACAAATTCTAGCTAACAGGTTTCTCAAGAAAAAAAAGTTTAGTGCTTTAGAAATACACAAGAACATCACACACTGGGGCCTGCCATGGGGTGGGGGGCTAGGGGAGGGATAGCATTAGGAGGAATACCTAATGTAGATGATGGGTTGATGGGTGCAGCAAACCACCATGGCACGTGTATACCTATGTAACAAACCTGCATGTTCTGCACGTGTAGCCCAGAACTTAAAGTATAATAGAAAAGGAAAGAAATACACAAGAAAATTATAAAATTGTTGATAGTTCATGACTTTCTCTGAGACCATACATGGTATGCAGAAGAATCCCAAAGGATTCACATTGTTAATACATGGCATCTAGAAGAGGGCCATTATCTCTGTAAGTCAATATCTCTAAGGACCTACACTGGCCAGTCTAAAGGAAAATTAGGTCCATAATGTCAGAAAATAAGACTCTATTACTTGTGTAAACTTCTCAATTGGAGATTCTTATTTCTTACCCTCCTAGATTCTGCTGACCATCAAACAACCATCAGGAAAGTCTTCCTCGAGCCCCATCTTACACCACTCAATTGATCATACACCTGTAGGGAGGTTCCTAGTTTTTATGGCATCAAAATGGCACTTCAAATCCAACACCAGCAGCATTCCTTCTTCCTTAAAGCCTAATGACATGTTTTTATATATAATGGTTAATGTGGTGTTCAGTATGTTCCCATAAATTTCAGCCTTCTGTGATTTTCAGAACATTTTCCCAAATGTCAACTGGGTGTTATTTATTGGCTAATCCCTCCATAATGAATATGCTGCTATCTGATAATCACAGAAATTCATGTCAAGCCAAACTTTGGACATAGATACCTCTGAATAAGTAAATAGATGCTTTACATAGCCTACAAAGGGAAATAAAATAGCTATAATGTAATAGCTACCATTTATTGAGTCCTTACTCTACAACTGACACTGAACTAAACATTTATAACTTTATATTATTCTTACAACAACCCTAAAAGGCAACAACTATTATTCCTGTTTTAACGGTAAGTAAAATAAGATTTAGAGTGGTTAAGAGTCTTATCCAAAGTTACAGAACCTGTAAGGAATAGGGTGAGATAAAAGGATTGGGGCTCAAGTTGAGGGTCCTGTTTCCAGAAACATTTTCCATAGGGTTGTGCTATCACCAATCCCTCTCACTACGTAAAGCCAGGGGTTTGGAGATAGTGGTGTAACTTCTGAATACCCTCATGCCCTGACCACCCCACCTCCTGCTTGTCTTTCTATAAACTTGCTGCGTTCTAAACACTGACATCCCAGACTGACAACTAGGGCTTTGTGAATCTAGACACGCCCACTACAAACACAAGCCACTAACCTGAGGACCTCTGAGTGTCCCCAGTCCTACAGAGGAAACAGGAGAGTGTTGAGATTATTTGAAGATTCCAGAAAGCCACCTTTACTTTCAGCTATCTGTATAAATTCTTTGGTTACTTCTTTCAAGAGTCCAGTTGTATATTTTTTCATATAATTTTTTCATATATATATACATATATATGTATATTTTTTCAAATAATTGCACCAGTAATTCAATGCCTAAGCAGAAAATGGTAATATGAAAAAACATTTGGATAAATTTCTAAGTACAGTAATCACCGGAATAATTTAAAACAAGTCAGTCGTGGCTATTTTTTATAAAGTATAAACTTCTGAGAATATGTTACTTTAAATACATTATTCAAAAAAATTTAATTTCTACAATAAAAATGTGTGTTGATTCTACAATATAAATTTGTATTAATTTTTTGAACTTAAGAATACAGAATAATTTATAAAGTATGTAAGTGTTTTTGCATTTGTTACAGGGATGGCTTATGTTGGAATCTGCTTATAATTTTCAACATCTTATAGGCTATGCCATGTTGCTGTTTCAAAATCCAAACAATGAATTCATTTTTTTATCTGAAAAGAAGTCTGATACTTGTGCTTAAGACAATAGGTATGAATAAATATATAATATTTATCAGCTAATTACTAATAACTATATTATTAAGATCTGCTAGATTCTGGGTATAGCCAGTTTTTCATTATTAACTTACATAAAGCACACAAATGAAGCAAGAAATTTTATTTTATTTACTCATTTTATTCACAGGCATGACTTGGGCTTTTGATAAAACAATCTCTCTCCTCTTTAGACCAAACAACTCTTTCTCCTTCTTTAAACTAAAATTTTGAAGTTAGCTAGTGATTGAAACTTCACCCAGCAAAAAATGATTGTTGAATATCATTTGTAATTTTGATAGTACAAATATGGGTTTTGTGCTTATAAATTAATTGCTTGTCAGTGAGAGGACTTTCTCTTTACACTGTTTTGTAGGAACCCACTTAACTAGTTTTCATGTTGTTCCTAATTTTAACTAGGACATGCAGAATCACTTAGTGTGAGCTAAGCTGTATTTAGTTAAAATGCTAAGAATTATCTGGGTGCAAAATTAAGATTTTTGTGTAGTCAGTATTGGTCATGAATTTCATACACTCTATAGCCTTTTATGGAATTTGTATTGTAGTCTTTCTTCATGCTTGCTTTACCCAGAAATATACTCATTATAAATGTTGGCCTGTGCAAAGCAGAAAAATGATGACACACAAAAACGGTTTCTTACAAGGACCTTGCTTCAGTTTTATGTTTTTGTTATTTACACACAGCATGTGTATGAGCTGTTCTCTTCCACAAGTCCAAAGAGAACTCAGAGGGTGCAAGGTAGGGAACTTATCTCGTCACTGCCTCTCTTCACCTATTTTTCCTTCAATGTTCTGTGGCCCATGGTAGTCCTTGTAGTCTATGTAGGACCATGGTAGCATAGCCCTTTATCCCTGTATGTAATCAGGGACTAAATGCCAGCTTTCATAGCAATTCACAGACTGTGGCACATAATAGGCCAAATTATCCAGCTTTACATTTTTAACAAGTTCCAATAATATCGGAAAATAATTTAAAGTGGAATTATTGTATCTTTCTCCTTTCCTTCTCATTTCTGCTCATGTGCACTCTTACTAATTTTGCTTTTGAAGAAAAATGTTAATTTTACATATATATGTTCATTAAACTGTTATGTATAACTTGAAAAGAAAAATGATTCTTACATATCAGTATGTCAAGGATGCTCCAAAGAGAGCTCTGGTTAAAATGTTTAAGGAAATATTTAAACATACTGAAAAAACCATAAGGACATACTCATATTGAAATGGGAATATTGCAGCAATTTACTCTTATTTCACTCTAGCAAATATGGGAAAAATTCAACTTATTCTCAGGTAATAAAGTCTGGTGTACCAAAATGTTGAAAAAAATGAAATCGATAAAGAAGTCACAAATGTGTAAAGCAAACATGAGAAATAGTTGCTCAAACAACTCAATTATATAGAAGAGAATGTCAGAAACCAGGGGTTTATTATCTATACCTCACAGCATTTGAAATGACTAGATTCAAAATACATTTATGAAACAATAATATTCAGTTTCTAAAAGATTTTAAGAACACACAAAGGGAATACTGACTTCCTTGTTATGCTCTGTAAAATACAAAACTCAAAACCAAAGGCAGTGAATCAACTTCACAAAATTAAGCAACAATGCGCTTTTCTGAAAAACTTAATTTTTCCTAAAGAATTATTTTAAATTATTTCATTAATGTTTCAAATTCTATTTGATTTGATTCCTCAGAAAATACCTATTTTCAAAAAAACCCACCAGTTTAATGGTAAGATGAACAAATGACTAGCCTGGTATTTTTTTTTTTTTTTGGTTATTTTTTTGAATTTTATTTTTGTGGACAAATACTAACTGTATATATTTATGAGGTACAATGTGATGTTTTGATATATGTTTACAATCAGGCTAGTTAACAAATCCATCACTTCACATACTTGTCATTTTTGTGTGTGTTGAAACATTCAAAATGTATGCCTTTAACAACTCTATGATTATTATAGTCTCAATTCTATGTGATAGATCTCTAAAGCTTATTCCTCCTGTCTAACTGAAACTTTGTACCCTCTGATCAACAACTCCCTTTTTTCCAACCACTCCCTTTCCCCAGCTTCTAGTAACATCATTCTACTCTCTACTTCTACAATTTCAACGTTTTTAGATTCCTCATACGTGTGAGATGATGCAGTATTTGCCTTTCTGTGCCTGGCTTATTTCACTTAGCATAATGTCCTCCAGGTTTATCCATGTTGTTAAAAATGAGAGGATTTTCCGTGGTTTTTTTTTTTTTTTTTGAGACAGAGTCTCGCTCTGTCCCCCAGCCTGGAGTGCAGTGGCCCGATCTCTGCTCACTGCAAGCTCCACCTTCCCAGGTTCACGCCATTCTCCTCCCTCAGCCTCCCTAGTAGCTGGGACTCCAGGCGCCCACCACCACGCCCGCCTAATTTTTTGTATTTTTAGTAGAGACAGGGTTTCACCGTGTTAGCCAGGGTGGTCTTGATCTCCTGACCTCATGATCCGCCTCCTCGGCCTCCCAAGGTGCTGGGATCACAGGGATTTTCCCTTTTTTTAAGGCTGAATAGTATTTCATTGTGCATATATACCACATTTTCCTGATCCATTCATTCCTTGATGGACACAGAGTGCTTCCATATCTTACCCATTATGAATAATGCTTCAATGAACATGAGAGTGCAGGTATCTTTGGAATACGGATTTCAATTCCTTTGACTATATACTGCCAGTGGGATTGAAGGATCATATGGTAGATACATTTTTAGTTTTCTGAGGAGTCTCCATACCGTTTTCCATAACGGCTGTATTAATTGACATTTCCACCAACATTGCATAAGGGTTCCCTTGTCGGCACTCCCTCGCCAACATTTATCTTTTGTCTTTTTGATGATAGCCATTCTAACAGGTGTGGGGTGATATCTCATTGTGGTATTAATTTGCATTTTCTTGATGATAGTGATGATGAACATTTTTTAATATATCTGGCAGCCACGTATGTCTTCTTTTGATAAGTGTCTATTGAGGTCCTTTGCCCAATTTTTATTGGATTATTTGTTTTCTTGCTATTGCATTGAGTTCCTTATATGTTTTGGGTATTAGCCACTTATATGGTTTGCAAATATTTTCTCCCACTCCACGAACTATCTCTTAGCTCTATTGTTTCCTTTGCTGTGCAGAAGCTGTTTAGTTTGATGCAATCTGATTTGTTTATTTTTCTTTGTTGACTATGGTTTTGTGATCCTATCTAAGAAATCTTTGCTCAGATGAATGTAGTAAAGTATATCCTCTTTGTTTTCTTTTAGTAGTTTCACAGTTCATGTCTTACATTTAAGTGTTTAATTTGTTTTGTGTTGATATTTGCATATGGTGTTAGATAAGACTCCAATTTCATTTTTCTGCTTGTGGATATCTAGTTTTCCAATACCACTTATCAGACAAACTGTCCTTTTTTATTGTATGTTTTTGGCATCTTTGTTGAGAATCAATCGACCATAAATGCACAGGTTTGTTTCTAGGTTCTCTATCCTGTTCCATGATTAATGTGTCTATTTTTATGTCCATATCTGCATGGTATATTTTACACACTGCAAGCTGCACCCCATATGTTATGTACCTATCAGGATGGAGGAAGAATGTGCTTTGATGTCAGTAATGACCAAGACAGGGTGCCACCAAAAAGACAGTTATCAGTTTGCAGGCTCAACTGCAGTGTGTCCTCCACAGTATCAAAAGATCCAAAATTTGTGTCACAGACAAAAGTAGAACATATTCTAAAACTTCAGGAAAAGTACCAAAACAAGAAAAAAAATGAATTTTCCATGAGATAACTCTATTTGTACATGACTGAATGGGTACAGTATTCTTTTGTGTACACAGAGTAAGCTTCAGTTTCCTCTATTCTGGAAATAAATAGCACACTAATTGCAGATAACCAAAAAACAGAACCAAGTAATTCAAATTGGCACAAACAAGAAAGACAGTATCAAACTATGGTAGATTAAACACTCCAGAGTGGTGTTCTTCCTTCTCTGTCAAAGTATACATATATATTATCTATAATATCTACAGATAATATAGACATAAATAAATATGAGTCCCATGATATTTGACTGTTGCTTTCCTTGTAATGAATGTCAGATACCTATAATTTATGACACACAGCAATTGTTTCACCAGTTGCGTTTTCTTTCAAACTGAAGTGAAACTTCTGAAGAGGAAAGGTTGATACGCTCATGGTGAGTTTCTATCTCCGGTTAAGCATTGCAATAATAATTCATGGATAAACAACAGCTGCAAAAAACATTAAGATATTATGAGTATATGAGTGTGGGAGTGTGTGTGTTTTAGTAATTGGGAATTGTTGGCCACATTAAAAGCCCATGTTATTACAAACAAGAATTTCACTACAACGCACCGTAATGCAAAGGTATGAAGAAAACCTGTCCAAGAAAAGAGAATCAGACGTGCCCACTTGTTAAATCAGAAAGAAATTCTCTAAGAGAATTCCAAGGAAATTTCCTTGGAAAGATAATTCCCCAGGAAAATGTTGTATTTTCTGGAAGAACCAAGAGAACTAAAAAAATTATTGTAAATGGAAGTATTTATGCCAAGAGAATCTTGTTACTTAGAACACAAGCCTGCCATCAAAACTCTATTTTTGTTTAAGTAACAGTTAAGAGTGCAATCCACAATGGGGTGCCAGCAGCCAGAGTTGTCTGAGGGGATGGCCATGGGCTTCAGAGCATGGGCCAAGAGAGAACAAAAACACAATGTACAAAGAAAAGGTGTTATCAAGAACCAAGAAGATGGTCCAAATGAACATCAGACTAAAAAGGTAGGCACAAAGGCAGATTCCATCCCAAGACAGTAGGGTGCAAACTAAAGAAACTAGAGAAATACTATCAGGTTCAGAACGTGTTTGCTGATCTGGTGGCTTTTATAGGCTGCTTTTAACTTCAAGCCTGGGTGGGGAAGAAGTTATTAAGGCCACTCTGGTTCATCCAACATGATGAACACATCATCTGATCTTATTTTAGTTTTACGTATGTGGAAAAACAGAATAAAATAAATAGAAGCTGTGCATGTGTGTGTATGTGTAGCATGTGCACAAATACACATATGCATATTTGCAACCATAGCTAAAATCATAGCCCGAGGGCACCTAAGTGCAAACCCCTTCAGGCCAGAGTCTGCAGTGTGTGTTGTTGTTTTTAATCTTTATATTTCTAGCCTCTAACACATTTTATATATTACAGTATATATTTAACAAATGAATGAGGAAGAACTTTTGTCTCTTTCATTAAAATGTGTTTTGCAGTTCTATTTATCAGGGATAAAGAGTTGTACTTAAATACCTGGATGTCAAAATACTAAAAATTGATTGCGATATTATCAAAAGTCATCACCATCTTTTTAACCTTAAATCTACTTTTATAAATTAAAAAATTCTATACAAGTTATCCTGTGGAATGGGGGAGTGCTGAAGAGAGATATGAGAGAGCCATCTGGGGAGTCAGAAATATTCTACTTCTTGATCTGAGAGGTCGTTACATGGGTATATACATAAGTACAGTTCATCAAGTCAAACACCAGATCTGCGCATTTGATTGCATGTAAGTCATACTTCCAACAATAACATTGTGTAAACCAAATAGAACGTATCTTTTGGGCAAACCTAGAAAAAAAATCTGCTTTTATCAAAAGAATTCACTGCAGGAATAATTTGGCTTCGCTGAAAGAGTATTGCAGAGGTAGATTCCCGAATAAGTATCTGGGGATGGAAAGCAGAAAAAGGCTTTTGGAACTAAAAGCTTAATTGCATTCTGCATAAGCATGAACATAATGAACACATCATATAATAGTCACTTTGCAAAAGAGCTATCAGTATGCTTTCTGGAATCTTCACTGATGTAACATGAGCTCACCCCATGCTCACTCTCTCACCTTCTTGAGATTTACCCAGGTCTTCTGTTCACTCCATGGCAGGGAATAATTTCAGAGGTTATTTTGCTGCAGTTGAGCACAAAAGGACTGAGCTTGGCTGTTACGGAGACTGGCCCTCTGCACCTATTTGTTAGCTTCAGTACCCATTTCCTGTTTATTTTTTGTTAGCTTGCTTCCCAAAGCATTTGGTATTTTCAGAGTGATCTAGAACCAAGGTTTTGAGGACTAGCTCCATGTCTGTGTGAGAGTATACAGCACCGTCCCTAAGACTGAGCAGTCCTGGGGCAAAAGCCCTGTTGAGCATCTTTCACTGCCACAGGTAGGAATGGGGAATGATTTGTTTAGCATTCAAATGAGTCACATAATACCAGCAGCACAGAAACTTATCATTTCTTAGTTCACTTGCATAGCATTAAGAAAAAAAATTAAATAAACAAATACGGATTATTTTTATAATGAATGCAATCTTCTTAGACTAATAGCCAGAGAAGAGCTATGATTGTTGTATGTCTAAAAATCCCAAATGGCAAAATGTAATTAAACTTAGAACTGTTGAACAAATAAACCTGTTAAAATACATAATATTACCAGGCAAAATAGCTATGTGTTTATCATTTTGCCACTGTAATTACATTCACTACAACTCTTCATGCATATATTAATATCTAACATTATAGAGGCTAAAATATAAATTGCAGAGCACTGAGCGTAGTTCCAGCCAAAAAGTTGGAAATGCATGGTAAAAATGCTTGTCATTAAAAAACAAAAATAAAAAGGCCTTGGATTTAATGTTGCTACTAATTGCTTTACGGAGAAGTAAAAGATTCTTATAACTACATGTGTACTGGTTTCAAATGAAGAATCATTATGTACCTCTACATGGGTATCTGGTTTGAAAAATTATGAAATTATTTATTGTGGGTCTCTTGGAGCATAAGGCACAGAACTTGTTCAATTTGACCTGAAAAAAGAAATACCCGGAAATGTGCCTAAGTTGCTATTCCTACGTTAATAATAGACAAATATTTTTAAGTAATCTCAACTAATTTCCAAGATTATGAATAGACTGTAACTGGATAGATGTCGGTTAGAGTGGGTGTGTTAGTTATTAAAAGTCAGGAGAGGTCAGGAAATTAATTCCCATGGGGTGAAACTCTGTATCCAAAAATAAGCAAGAAGAGGCGTTTGTCCAAAAGCTTGACAAAAATCAGTGCCAAAGATTGTATGGGGGTAAAAAAAGATTACATGTAATGAATAGTAAAAGAAGAAAGAGGTAGAAAAAGAGGAAGGGAAGGAAAAGGAGAAAGAAAACCAAATAATTTGTGAGTACAGAACATACAATGAATCTTCATTGCTGAATTAATAAAATACTGTCTTTAGCACCAATAAATTACAGAAACAGGGGTTGGAAAAATTTAATAGAAATCACAAGCCTTTAAAAATAACACTGGCAATAATTAAAAACCTTTCCCTTAAAAGCTTCCTATTGTTAATTGGTTTACTTTCATTTAGATATAAATTAATTTCCATAAATTAATTTTTACCATCAGAATAGCTAAAAAATATGGAAAGCCTAGAAATTGACAGAGCAGAGTCAATATATTGAGCAAAGTAATGTGATGGTCCATAATCTCTATCATGATTAATATCTAATCCTAATCATCATTATTTTTGGAGGGCCATTTTTCATCATGATGGCTGCATTTTATTTTGAAATTATTTAAGGGAATTAAATATTTTGTTAAGTGAAAATTAATGTGTCTTTATTCATGACTGAGTGAGCCATTACAAGTGTTTTTCAAATTCAGTTCTTTTAAAATAAATGCCATGAATGGTCATTTAAGTTAGTCACCACACCTATTTGTCCCATGACATAATGACTACAACTGCCCTAATGAGTCCAATTGAATGGCTATTGTGCTTGTGGTTTGGGAGTGTGAAGTTCTATTTCCTCACATTTGGATTTTAATCAAATCACTAATTCAAGCCAGGCCACTGAAACACCTACCAATTTTAAGAAATTCAAATTACTCTCATTTTATGATGGATTAAAACTTCAATCACCTTGAAGGACATCACCGAACCAGTTAATTTATATATTTGAGGATAGAGAGTACAAATGGATCATCTCAAAATGAAAAATATTATATGGCAATTGGTCCCCACAACCCACAGGCATGCACACATGCAAGACACAGATTTGATCTCTCCTTAAACAAGTCATTGTTTAAGCCTTGGATAAAGACTAAGATTTTTCATATCACTGGTGAGGGCCCTGACCATCATTCTAGCCTCATTCCCGGCCCTGTCTCTCCAATACATTGTGCTGCTGCAATGCCAGCTGATTTAGGTTCCCAAATACTTAATGCTGTGTTATCCACGAGCGTTTGTATGCACCATTTTCTTTTAATGGGAACAATTTCTTCTTCAACTTGTTATCTCCTGCATCCTTTCCTTCAAACCTCATTTGAAATATCAACTCATCCAGGAAGACTTGTCTGATGCTAACAGCTCATTTAGATGCCCTTGTCAGGGTGTTCACAGGGTAATCACTGGTTTGGTGGGTCTCTATGATGGGGTTATAAGCTATTGAAGAATAGAGAGCTGTGTTATTAATCTTCAATTCCCAGGACTTGCCATATACCTGATGTATAGCTGGATGTCACTAATTCAAGCAAGTTGAAAAAAGGGATGAGCCAGCAGAAATAAAAAGAAGGAGAGGAAAGACAGACAAAATGAAAAGCAATGACTGTTCTATAACTGCCGTATACCACTCTATGTCAAAAACTACTCTATACTTGTACTAATCTGCCTTTTAAAATGTTTTTAAACACTCTTACATATATTGCCCACACAGTACACTGGACATCTCCTTGAGCTTGATATGAGGAACCTGCAGTTTAAAGAGATTTTAAAGATTTACCTAAATGCAAACGGGGAGTTAAATACAGGATTGGAACTAGGCCTTATCACACCTCATTACAGCTTCCTTCTGACATGTTGCAGTGTTACAGTGTGCTGTGTGCTTCAGAGCAGACGTGCACCAGGAAGGGGAAGGGGTAGCAGGAAAGTGTGTCCCCAGGACATGTCTTCGGCCACAATACTTTCATCTAATAAATACAGAGGGAAAATATCTCTTCTTACTTTGAGTACATTTAACCTCAGAACAAAACTAGATGACCTGGCAAAATGAGTTGGGAGATCAATTTTCAGGAAAACAGGCAGAGATGTACAAGCCTTGGTGGTGGTAACCAGGATTCCATGTAGCATTTTCAAATAGAGCAGTACTGAGTGAGAGCTATCCTGAACTTGTGGAATTCCCTGTGGAATGCACAAGATGCAAAAATAGGCAATCAGAATAGGTTTAACTTTATCAGCAAAGAATGAGTTCAGGCATGGAACAAAAATCCGGGCCAGATCACTTGGCTGCTGTCACAGAGAGACCATGTAAACTCAGGTCATTGCTGAAAAGATGTGGTTTGAAGTCCTTCCAAGGTGCTGGCAGATTCTGAAGAGCCATATCCACAGAGATACCGATAGAGAGGACTGTGAGATCACCCAGTGCAGAGTGCAAGTATTTTCGATTATTCTTTGAGGATAAGGCCCAAACTCCCAGCTCCCTTTCACAGAGTACCTGAGCTCAGCAGCCCAGTGGACATGTGTTTCTCTCTGCAAGAAATACTTGGGAATAGGAATTCTCTTCTCCTTTAGGAACAGTGGATTTCTTCCCTTATATACTTGAAACAAAAAAACAAACAAACAAACAAACAAAAACCCTCTGCTTCCCACCCATTTTGGAGGAAAGACTCCAGTAGGATACTGGGTCACCTAACACAGAGGAAGCTATCCCAACCGGAAGAGCATTGTGCAATATGCACAAAGTCCTTCAATAGACATTGGATGTCAGCACAAGCCTTAATTGAAACCAAGTCCATGTTCACTCCCTAATGACCACAAGAAGGAAGGAACTCAGAGGGTTCCTCTGCTCACTAACTGCCTATGTGATATTGGCCACCTTGTTTCATTCCCCTGTGCCTCTAAAATCTCACCCTTCAACCCAGCATGACATCCTATAGCAATACAGTGCTGAGACTACAATGCTGTGAATAATTTTGAGGTATTTACCTACAGATCATTCAGAGAAGGAATGGAGGGAAGAAGTGAATACAGGCAGACGTGAAAAACAACCAGAAGCTCTCAAGGGGCCACAGATACGTCCTGGGAGGTTTCTTCTTATCAGAAAAAAAAAAAGAAAGTAGAATTTTTCTGCTATTGCTGTGTATGAGTGCATAAACATTTTGTTACCTGACCATAAACCTACCTTGAAATGTGATCAGTGTCAATTCCACCCAAGGATAGTGTCTCAATGGGCTGTTATATCCAATATTAACATGAATTTAGTATCTTTAGGGACACAGAATTATCGTTCATCAGAATATTAATTAGAAATGTTTGAACCATGTCATGGTTTACTCTTTTATTTTCTAATTGGAATTCATTCCAATAAATCCAAATTGTTTTATCCCTCCACATGGCCACAATACTCGAACAAGTCGGAACAATCCCCCACTTACTTGCTTGTTACCAAGGACCTAATGTTAAATATTGCAAGTGCAGAGTGCCCAGACACAATGCTGTTAGCTATTTAAAGGCTATGTGCTAGATACATCTTGCAAATAAGTGAATAAATAATATATTAATGCCTGGGCCCCTTTTTCACCGGATTTATAAGCACAAAAGTGATATGGAGAACTGACAGTAACTTTAATATATGTAAATATCTCAATTGGATAATCCAGGCACAAAAATACATTGTAGCTTGGTGCTTATTAAGTTTATGTTTTATGCATTTCCATTACAGGAGTTAATATGTTTCTTGGTTTCTATGTTCTCAGATCTCCTAAGATACCCGGTCTTTAAAGTATTATACAAAATATCAGGTATGCATTAATCTATAAAGTTAAAACGTTGTGTTTGTTTATACCAACCACCCCAAAGCAGAGTTCCTTCTCATAATGAGGTGTTTCCTAACAGTGTGATAGAATATTTTTAAATTGGCTTTGACAAGCACATTCTGAGGCTGATTTCTCACAAATGCATGCTGTCTATATCCACACACACTGTGGACCCCACCATGAGCTCTGGGTGGAATGCTCAAAATTTCCTCTCATTTGATCCCAATGACCAATGACCTAAGCTGTGGAAAATGTTCCTTAAGCTTGCTGAGGAGAGTTATTTTTGATTTCTTTGGTTGGCGTGCTCTATTTTCTCACTTAATGGAAAGGGATGAGAAATGAAGCATCTTTGTTTAGCTCTACAATGGACAATTTTCCAGCTACTTTAATGCATTCTGTTTAGAAAGAGAGTCCTGGAAATCATTTCTTCCTGAATTTATAACTTGCTCTGTGTTTTCAGAGTTTTTTATTCAATGCAGATTTAAAATTAAAATGCGTGAGCTCACTTCTTATTTTCCTAAGACAAATATAACGACTTCCATCTTGGTCACTGAATCCTTTATGCAGGCAATCAACCAGAGGTCAGGTTTATGATCATGTGGCAAGTATTTGACTAATGAAAAACATGGACACTTTCTAATCACTTAGGTTTGAAGAGCTTGTGCAATTGTCCCAAGACCTATCAGCTCTAATTTACCTGATTCTGTCTTTCTGCCTCTCTTCTTTGGTAAAGGATGATCTATTTTAGTTATTGCATCACATCTGGAAATTATAGAGGTAATAGTATTAGCATGACTCCTCTCTAAAGGGTTCCAGGTTGAGACGATGTCACTGCATACATTTGGGAGAGAAGGTACTAGGTAGTGGTGTTTTTGTGTAAAAACCTTACATTCTAAAGAATGGTTTATAATTACATTTTGAAAGACATTTCTGTGAATAGTTCATTTATCAATTCTCACCTTACTTCTGGCTCTGCCTCTGATGATCATTCAGTTTCCTCTCCTCTTCCTTTATACTGAGCCTCCCTTCTACACAGACCTGTCCCAGAAATCTTTAAGGAACTCAGATATTTAGATAGAGTCAGTAATATCTAATAGAAGAGTTCTTTTATCCAGAAATGCTATTTCCATTTATTTTATTGAGGCTACTCCTGCAACTGTCTCTGTGGCAAACAATTTCCTAGTCTGTGTGTGAACACGTCCAATAACAGCTGTTGCATGAAATGAAGAGTTGAATAAAGAAGAAGTGCTGAAACAAAGAAGATGGAAAGAATTGAATGGTGAATGTGCCAATAATGAAATGCATAAGCAATTCCACAGGTGAAGAGTGGTGGAGCAGAAATGGCGGTTTTGTTTTTGTGACTGTTTCTAATTTAATTGAATCAAAATAACATACAGGACATATTCCTTGCCTGAAGCTCACAATTTCAATTCGTCAGAGAGATTGGATAGTTACACATAAAAAGATGAAAATAAGGTAGGTAGGGTATAGGACAGAGGGAGGAGATAAAAAAGGCTCAAGTAAAAAGAATCCAAAGGTGAATGGGTCATTGGTGGCAATTGTTAACAGAAGTTTATTTGGAATATTTCACTTGCACCCTGCACCATTCAGAATGATTTTTGCAATTCCTATCGTTGAGCTGGATCAATCTGTTGTTTTTCCCTTTATCCTCATACATTGCTTTCTGCTTTACTTGTAGCTTACTAAGTGTGTATTCTGTGTTGATTCATTATGTTTATGTAGAAGGCTGGGAAGGCCTGTCAGAATTCCATTTAGGTTGCTTGTCATGAGCTCATCAACACCTGGCAGGTTTGTTCTTCTGTTGTGTGATCCAGGCAGATCTTTGATGCAGGGAGACAGGCTCTATGTCAATAACCAGGACCAAAGGTAAACCCAAGGGTGTCATTGTGGTGTGATTTGCAGGTAGCAGGGCAGGGGAAAGGAGAATGCCAATTAAGTACATTACAAGTGTACTGTGTATACATATTCCTAGTGAGGTTCGTAATTCTCAGGGCTTTTAGATTGTGAATAATTGACACCCCTGCAAGGTGGATCACTATCATTGTCCCCATCACTGAGGAGGAAATTGTCTTGCACTCTGGAAAGGCTCATTTATGCTCTGTGTAGCTTTGCTGCCTACCCAGTACTTCCCAGGGGTGCTGTGAGGACCAATTACTAATTACCTGGAAGAGCTCTTATGCTCTGATGAGATCCTTTGGAATGTAGGCATCTGTGAAACGATGATGATACCTTCTCCCTGTTTTCTATCACACTTGGCAAAGGGCCGGGCACTTTTGGTCATCTAATCAACGTTCTCTGAAAAAGGAAAGAGGATTCAGGAGACAGGGCGCTCCACCCAACCATGATTAGAAAAACAAGACCAAATTAGTAGAGAAGCTAATTTCATGTGACCCTTCCATTTAAATGATTTTTTAAAACCTGAGAATGTTAAGGAAAAAAAAAAGACAGAGAGAAATTTGAGAGAGGCCTTACGTCCACCAGGTACGCAAACAAGGATAATAAACATTCGGCAGGATATCCACATGAAAAACTAAAAACACTATATAGCAACATCCAACAAAAACAATACATATGATCAAAAGGAAGCATAATGGCATGGTAAACCAGAGCCTTGGGATGGTTGGAGTTAATCTGGGAACAATTTCAAGGGAAGAGTGTTGGTTAAGGTTCCACCATGAAATGATAATGGACTAAGGTACATCTGCTGTTTTATTATGTATTCCTATTGTGTAGGTAGCATGGTGGTTATGAGCATGTTTTAGAGTCTGTGGGCCTGATGGATGCAGCCATGAACCTCTAGTTGGCATTTTAAATCTCTCTCAATTTTTCTTATTGCTCAGCCAAAGAAATAATAGTATATGTCCAATAAGGATTTGAGACAGATTAAGTGAGACAATACCTGTCAAAAAGTGAGGAGAGTGTCTGCACATAGTAAATTACCAATAAGTCCATTGTCGCCACAGTTGTTGCTTAGGTCCCAGCATGAAGTAAGCGTTCAGTGAAAAATGAATGATTTCACTCATACCTGGGAGGACAATGATAGACAGAGGGAAAAGAAAGTGGTTACTAGGCTCTTCCTCTGATGGTCCCTTGATGACTCAATCCTGTGTATCCAAATTCAACACCCATTCAATCACAAGGCCCCAAGTTGTGCAATAAGTTAACAAGGAGAATCCAATAACACCTTCTGACTCGTGTGTCCATTTCTAAAGGGTATCAGATGGGCTGGGCATGGTGGCTCACGCCTGTAATCCCAGCACTTTGGGAGGCCAAGGCAGGCAGATCACCAGAGATCATGAGTTCGAGACCAGCCTGGCCAACATGGTGAAACCGTGTCTCTACTAAAAATACAAAAAATCAGCTGGGCGTGCTGGTGCACACCTATAGTACCAGGCTGAGGCATGATAATCACTTGAACCTGGGAGGTGAAGGCTGCAGTGAGCCGAGATCACACCACTGCACTCCAGCCTGGGAGACAGAGTGAGACTCCGTCTCAAAAAAAAAAAAAAAAAAAAAAAAAAAAAAGGACCAGATGTATCGTTTTCTGTAACAGAGTTGAAGAGAGAACAGAGAACAGTGGGAATATGAAGTTTAGAGATGTGCTAGTATCCCACGATTAAAAACAAAAATAAAATAAAAGAGCAAACAACTCTCACCAACGTTATGGTGTACTTCTCTTTTTGTAGGAACGTCACCTTCCTTCACTTCCCAACAGACAGCTTTCTTTAAAACACCTTCTGTTCTTCAAGCTTCATTTGTTTTTCCACTGCTACGATTTGGTTTCTACCTCTTCTCTCACAACTGTGCTCACCAAGGCCTCAACGCTGCCTTCATTAATTGATCCCACAGCCACTTTTTAGCCTTTTCAGCCTTGACTTCCTTGCTGTAGTTGACACATTGTTGGCCCTTTTCACAAAGTGAATTTTCCCTCACTAGTTGTCTTGTATGTCATTACTCATTTCTGGTTTTTATTCTGCATTTCTGACTGCCCCTTCCCAGGTTCCTTCCAAGATCTCTTGCTGTCTACTAACATCATTAGTATCCCTGGCTCTGTGTGTCCCTTGATCCCTTAATCCACCCTGCAGAGAAGTCCCTAGACCCTCTAACTTCATGTCCTTCCTCTCTTCCTCTCCACATATGGTCCAAATCTCTCTTAGCTCCACGACTTTCCCTGAGGGCCTCACCTCTGTACTTTCAAATGTATCCTACTTTCTGCCTGGAATACCCACCCACATTCCCATTGGTCTAATTCCTGGTGATCCTTCAGTTCCCAGCTTAGATGTCATTACTTCAGAGACATTCCTGATCTTTAAGCAACCAAGTCCCCTCACATGAGTTTCTTCCCTTATAACATTCTCATTTTATTTTAAGTACTTGTAAATGTCTGCTTTCCCTGACGGGGTAAATTGTGACATCCCCACTTATGACTTTGTATGATTTGTACTACAAAAAGTTTCAGGGCAGAGAGGGTAAAGAGGCATAGAAATCTCAACCGGGCACAGTGGGTCACGCCTGTAATCCCAGCACTTTGGGAGGCCGAGGAGGGTGGATCACGAGGTCAGGAGTTTGAGGCCAGCCTGGCCAACATGGTGAAACCCCATCTCTACTAAAAATACAAAAATGAGGCAGGCGTGGTGGTGTGCACCTGTAATCCCAGCTACTTGGGAGGCTGAGGCAGCAGAACCGCTTGAACCAGGAGGCGGAGGTTGCAGTGAGCCGAGATCACACTACTGCAGACTGGACAACAGAGAGAGACTGCATCTCCAAACAAACAAACAAACAAAAAAAGAGGCACAGAAATCTCATGTGTGCTCTGTGATACTTGGTTTGGGACAACTCTGCCCAGTGACTTCACTGTTATTTAATTTGCACAGAAAGAACATTAAGGCCAGCAGAACTGCTATTCCCTAATAACTTGAAAGTTTAGTGAAGGAGAAAATGTGTCTGTGTTACACATCACTGAATTCTTGCTCCTAGCACAGTGTCTGCAGTCTTTCAACTGACCATTGCTAAATGTATAAATCCTCCCCATTACCATATTCTGGAACCGCACTGTCCCATACGGTAGTCCCCAAGCCACATACGGCTACCGAGCATCTGACATATGGCTTGAGATGTGCTAAGTATAAAATTACACACCAAGTTTAAGATCTGGCAAGAAAACATCTTAATAACTTTGTATTGATTACAAGATGAAATAACATTTTAGATATATTGTGTTAAATAAAACGTAATTAATGTACTAAATAATTTGCATTTGAGGGTCACAGTAGGTTTCTATTGGACAGCACTATTTCTAGACTTTCTTCTGAGACATTGCTCTATATCCAGACATTCATTGAATACCTCCAGCTGATGTCCCACAGACACTGTAAATGCAATGAAATTAAATTTATCATATTTCCCAATAACGCACTTCCTCTTCAGATGTTGCCTCAGATGTTAATGGTTGCAATTCATCTGGTTACCTAAGGCAAAATTTTGGACTATTCCTCCACTCTTATTTTTTTATGAAAAGACTCTTCCAATTTTCCCTTTTCCTTCCTGCCACAATGCCATTAATATGGCCACCGGACTCTCCAGCATAAATCCCCATCGGCACATCTAGGAGACCTTTTTTGACAAGGCATAAGACAGCCTCTGGTTGTCATCAGATTACAATCTACCTCTTTAGTGTCTCCTCGCTCTATTGTCTCACTAACCCCCTCTACTTGATACTCAAGAAAATAGCTCATATTGACTGAGTATGTTTCAAAAATATATCCTTACAATACCTTATCATTCTCATACTGCAAATGAAGAAACTGAAGCAGAGAGGTCAAATAATTAGCCCAGCATGTGCACCTAAGTGATGGAGCTGGTATTTGAACCTAGACCATTTGACTTTGGTATCTGGTCTCTTAACCGATGCTCTTTATTTCACATCCACAGTAATTTCTATTCTCTGACTATATCAAGATTTCTCACACCTTTGTATCTTTACAATTGTTTTTTTTCCTTTGCATGAGAACTTCCACTGTCTCCTCATTACTTTATCCACCAGATCAATTCTTTGACATCCTTTAAGGCGCATCTCCAAAGAAACCCGCGTGTCAATTTATCAGACCTTACCAGAAATATTTAGTAGTTTTTCTGTGTGCTTGCCTAGCATTTAAGACAATGTAAATATGACATGTCTTCCTCATTAGAAAATGTATTTTATATCTTAAATTTCTACCGTCAAGTGCAGTGCGTGACAACAGCTGGCTCCCAGTGAATGTCTATTGGATTTTTGGCTGCAGGGGGTGGAGGAGACAGGGCCATATGAACAGGACAACTTTTGGTCAGGAGGTCTTGAGATTGCTGATTGAGCTGAAATTGTCTGGACTCTTGAGATTTCCCATTCTAATTTGAGAAACATTGATCTATACAAGAATGAAGTTCATTGTAGTTATCTTAGGTTATCATTCATGGAGCTATTGTTGACAAAGAGTCATGAGACTTCACAGCAGTGTTAGAGCTGAGACCAGTTAATAGGTAAAGCCCTAGTTGCACAAAGAAGTAAACTGAGATTAGAAAGATTAAGTAACTTATCCACAATGACACTGCAAGTTAGTATCAGAGCTCTGCTTAAACCTGCATTTTCTGACTTCTAATCTATCCATAGTTCCTGGCTCTTTCCTATGAACATACAAATGCCAAAACGATTTTATGTGTTTATACACATATACATATACATATATCTTCACTGCTAATGAACTGATTCAATAAATGCATGTATTTGCCTCACATAAAGCCTGGATGTATTTGTGGGAATGATTAGAACTAATATGAATTCAGTGATTTATACATGAGATCGTCTCATTTACTTCTGAAATGTACAAAGAAATTCACAACTTCACTTTTCCCCCAGGAGAGGAAAAAAATCTATCCAGTCAACAGTTTTCCAACAAAAAAGGCAGTGCAAAGGAATCAAGTTTATTGAGTTCTGCTGACTTACTTTTCCCAGTTTTCAATGCTTCTATAACTACCATCATGATAGCATAAAAGCGCTAACATTTTTGTAATAATTGTCCTTTACCACAATTTCTGAAAAATGCTTTACATGCTTTATCACATTCAATATATAAAACAACCCTATGAGATAGATCACAATTACAATTTCCTATTTTATAGTTGGGGATACTAAAGCCCAATTTAATAAATGCCACAGGGTCATAGAACTTTAAAGTGGCAGAAGCCGCACTTGTATTTAAAATGAATCTGACACCAAAGCTTATGCTTGTAACCATGAATCCAGTCCATATGTCTTTAACAGTATATTTAATTTCCATCCAAAATGATGGAATCATAGAATTAAAGACCTAGAAATGATATTGGATGCCACCAGATCCCTATACGTCACTTAATAGAAACACAAAGTGAGGTTCTGGAAAATAGGTGAATCAACCTCTCCTGGACTTAGTGTGCTTACAATTTTTCCATATTTTTCTATATCACACAATAAAGTGCTTTGCATAGTGTACATACTTAATAAATATGGATGATTGACTCTCATGGATTCTTCCATAACTGTATACAGCCATATAAACACATGCATATGCATATATGTGTATCAATGTCTAGTCTGTGTGTTTCCAATAATACAGAAAGTTAGAATAACAGCCAGCTTGTCAAAACATAGCAAAAAGGACCACATTTTGGAAAGAATTACAGTATCATTACTGTTGACATGGGTAGAATAGATGAGTGTCCCCTAACTACTGCCTGTCAGGGCCTACTCCCATCTCAGCACTGAGTTTAAATAGTACTCAGCCAGCTGCCTGTGGATTTAGCCAACATTGCATGTCAATGCAAAAGTCTGATTGCCCAGATGGTTATTTCTAGGCCCACGATCAAAAATAGTAACTGAGCATGGCTGTAAGGCATATCACCCTGCACATAGGCTAGTGGTTTCTTGCTTTCTTCATATATCCTTCCTCTGTGCAGAATAGGCATGTTGATGTTAGCTATTTTAACAACTCTCACTAGGAACAAAAAGAGAGAAACAGAAGGATTTGGGCAGCAATCCTCTAAATCTGTGAAAATCTCTGTATTACTCTGCCCCTCATATCTTCAACTGCATTCTTTCTTTCCTCACTGTTATTATTGGATATAGAGTATCCACTCTGTGAACTTCCTTGAGCATGTATTTTCCCCCTTTATGTATCCCCTCTATCATCTCCAGCACAGTAGTTTTGCACTTGAAAAGCAAAATAGAGAAATGTAACAGACACAAAGCAAACAGACAAAACAAAAAAACTTCAAATGCTCTGAGGGAAAAAAATGGAAGAAGTTCCAATTTTAAAGTTTGACTAGCCCTTTGCCTGCCCCAAGGTAAGAAAATGCTAGCGCAATGCGGAAAATCAGATCTGTGATGCAGTGCTTTTGAACAATTCAACTTGTGACAAGAAACAGAACAACCCTCAAAATTTCATCAGAGCAAGTTTGATTAACAATTCTGAATCCCTAAATGGTGAATTAGGAACTCTCTCTGAGGCAAAAAGTGGGGAGGCTGTAAAGATCTGGAATACCATCTTTGCCCTGACATGCCTTGGGTTTATAGGGAGCCACTCCTGGTTACATATTTGGAAAGAGATCACTTCATTGCCTTGGAGGGGAGCCTCTCTTCTTATAAATTACATTAATTCAGACCTTCATCGGTCCTTCCTGGTTCTATTTCAGTAAACAAACATAGGAATAAATTGTTCTGAGCTTGCTTTGTTTATTCTAGTTCTTTCCTCCACCAGCTCCCTTTTCTGATCTTTCTATTCCCCTAGGCAGAGAATCTTTACAGGGGAAAATTGCTCATTTCAATGTTAGCATTTTTTCTTACACTGGAATAACGTGGCTCAGCTACTCTGACCTTGAAGTGCAATCCCCCTCTCCCCCACTATAAGAAATCATCAGGGGCTGTAAGGTGAACAGCACCACGTTTCCATTTCTTTGCAATCCATATTTACATGGTGAAGGTTATGCTGGTTCCAAAGGAAAAAGGACAGCCCATCATCCTAAAAGAATGACAGATAAGGATTAGGGTTAATACTGGCAAACATTTAGAAACTGAAAGAAAGACTGCATTCATGACAGAAATAAAAGGGGCCATTCTTTGGCAAAACATAAAACAGCATCTGTTGAAACAACTCAAGTTCTGAGCTGCTTTGCATGGCATCCTTTGTTGCCCAAGGATGGCAGCTTCTCTCAGGCCTTTGAGGACATGAAATGATGACAGATACGGGTCCTGTGCCAAGAAGCAAGAAAAAAAATCACATTTTGATGTGCAACTACTTGATTCTTAGCCATCTAAAAATACAGAGAGGAAGCTGTCAATTGCATGTAATGAACTGCTCTGGTAGCACTGGGTGATTAATTTCCAGCTTTACCCTGCTCTATCATGTACTGTGGAGAGCACATTACCAGAGCTTTTTGGCTTCAAGGGAAAGATCAACCCCATGTGTGTAATCTACTCCAGGTGTACCAAAGTGGGCTCTTTGCCCTTTTCCTTTGGCTCAGTACTCTATCCCACTGACATTCTGGTGTGATGCATTGGCTTTTTCTTTGTGCAATGTTCATAATAACAAAGTCCAGAAAATTCCCATTTGATTCACATATTTATAGCAACAACTCGTTTTTGTCAGTATTTTTAACATCATACTTTTTAGCTGTAAAATGGGGAAAACAAAAACACAATCTTGGTCATGCTTTAAACCACAGAACTAAATGCTGAGGTCACCTACCACTTGTAGATTATTAACAAAGCTTTTAATACACACAACTGATTGTAGGTATTATTAGAAACAGAGAGGATGAATGTTTTAAACCACCAAGGTCATTCTCATTTGTATAGTGTAAAAAATAGAAAACATCAAATACATACACTCTTCGCTATTTCATATTTATTCCCAAAACATTTCAGATATATCTGATTAAAGGACTGGTAACTTTTCTTTCTCCACATATGAGGTAGCTAATAGATACCAGCCTTGTTGAGGAAAAATGGACTTTGTTTTACTGCAAGTAGATTTTATGACTTTTTCTTTTGATGTCTAAATCATGAAACATGCCAGAGGCACTTTGTTGTCTGTTTATAGTACCTATGTACACTCTTAATGAGTTGCCAATTTTTACTTCCTTTAAGAAACCCTAATGGTAAAACATTTATCTACATATTGAAAAATTCATTTAAGCATGTTCTGTGCTTCCAATGAGGCACCGTCTAATGGTCTTTTTAATTAAATGTTGGTTCCAAGGATTTCTCTGTTGTTTAAGGCTGTAGTTCAGCTTGTTCATCATGGATTGCAGGTTGGGAGACATGAGATTTAATTCAAACCATTATTTTTAAGGGAGGATTTGGCTTAAGTTGTTTTAAAGATAACTCAAAAGCGGTATACGTACTTAACCCTGAGAACTTACTGATGACAATCTTAATTTTAATTTTGTTTTGGCCTCTCTGTTATAATACCAGAGGTGGAAAGACTTACTAAGTAAGAAAATCTTTGCCAACAAGTTGCCTTTATGAAAGAAGTTTATTTTTGTTAATTGACCAGAGGCAGCAGTTGGGTAACAAGTTGCAGCAGCTGATGCACTGCACACCTATAGGTTGGTAGGGTCACGGGATCTCAGTTCTATGACACTATGAGGTGGTGTTACCCAATTTGAGGCTCAGCTATTCTCAAGAATAGTTGAATGTTGTTACTAAAGTGGAAATTATTGGTAGTGGGCGAGGACAATGTTGAGACAATGTTAGGCTGGAGTGAAATTTGTAAAAGAAAGCCACAGAATCGATTCAAACCCAAATCTAGTCTCCGGAGTATGCGGGAAGACATGGGTACCTGCAGCGTAAACTCCATTCTCAAATGCCTTCTTACCTTAATATACTTGGAAGCCTCTATAGCTGCACCTGGGGTTAAAGAAGCAATATTGCCTACCTGAGTGAAGCATGTCCCTTCTCTTCTTTTGTGAGCTTTCTCCATTACTGAAGGGAAAAACAAACAAAAAGTATTACCTACTTTCTTTCCCTTACTGCTAAGAAAGAATCTGGTCTTTGATTAGGCAAATCTGTTTCCCTACTCAAGAAGAAACAATAAAAGTCCTTTGTTGCAGTATCCAGTGGACCCTAAGTTGACTTTGTATCAGGGCCCATTTTTACTAATTAATCACCTGCACTGCAGATCCTTAAAAGTGAAAGTTCTATTAGTTGGTTAAGGATGTCTTTCCTGCCTCCTTCCAGAAGCTATACATAAATGTTCAAGACAATTTTTATTGTCACACTCTCCAAGGATTACAATAGATGGTCACTTTAGGCATGGTTTCCAGAAACTCCCCTTTCTGCATGAGCTAAAATATTAAATGTATAAAAACAATTATGTGGGAAATGCTGTATTTCAATGCTTAGATTTACTCATATTAAAACTAAAAGATCATTGGGTTGGAAAGTGAAGAAAACCATCTTGGTCCTGGGTGAGACTGTGTCAGAACCTGGAACAATCTTCTCAGAGGCTCATCAACAGAATAAAAACATGTAAAACATCTATCTTTTTTGTTTCTTTGTTTCTTTAGCCTACGGGATGACTACTGAAAAGTTCCCCCCAATATGTTCCACTTTATATAAGAAATTGTTTTCAATATAAAAAAGATTTACTGAAACATTAATAACATTTTAGAGAAAAGGAAAAATAAAGAGTAATTATGTAAACAGTAGAGCCAACAAGAGGCAGGAAAGCATCTCTAAAAACCCAGCAAGACCCTTAGGCTAAATTAAATAGTACTAATATTTATTGAATGTTTTGTGCCATGTACTTTACATATTCAATCTCAATTAGCATTCTTAACAATCCTGTGAGGTAGATATTATTATTCTAAATTTTAGAGATAAGGGTCTGGGACTCAAAGAGTATAGGAAACTAACCTCAGCAGTTGTTCAATGGCAGAAGGTGAAATCAAGCTCAAGTCTTCCTAATTCCAGAATTCACATTCTCCTCCCTCTACCGTTTGGGCTCCTGGGCAACAGAACTGAGTAAGCAAATGCTCTGTGCAACTATTCCACAAAATTCTTTTTCTATGACTTGGGATTATTTAAGGGTCAGGTCCCATCAAATATCAATGTGTGGAAAGCCATGGGCAAAGCTAATCTCAGATTCTGTACTTACAAATACTCAAGTTCAGGAGACTAGTATGTTGCAGGGTTAAAACCGGGATCCAGGTTTACCTTCATCTCTAACCCTCTTCTCCCTCAGGATGAAGGCTCAGATCAGTTTCATCTATATGCTATGCCTGCCTGACCTGGAGAACTTGGTGTTAAAGGAAATGTGTTTATCAAATGTGTCATGTTATCCTTGGAGGGCAACTGAGGATCAGAGCACAGCTGCCTTGAATTGTTCCATCGAGTTATTCCACTGCAGTTAAGTGGAACATCAAAAAACGTCAAGAAGCCTAAAACATGGAAACTTGTTTAATTTTCTCAAACAATGGCACTAACCAAAGCAAACGAAACTTTGACAAGAAAGAAGCAATTGTTTAGCCTTGTCATGTCCTCACAGTTAATAATACAAAGGGTATATTCACAGTGCAAAGATACTTTCCCTTTCTCTCAAAATAGAAGACAACGTATTGTAAGATATTTTACAGATGTCCTTCCTCATAGAACTCTGTAAACTTTACTAGCTCAAGAACAAAATCAAAGTTTCAATTCACGGGACTGATTCATCTTGCATTTTAGGTATTCTAATGGTATATTTGTACTGTGTGTTGCAACCTATAGAATAAATGTACTTCTTCTTCATGTTTCCTGTTTGCTGATGACAGATACCAGTGGCTCACCTTTCGGCCTATGAAACAATGATTTCTTTTCAAATTTGAAATCTGAATAACTATGCACCACAATAGCTGCCTTTGACCCAGAATTTTTCTCTAGTCATTATCTTCCAAAGAATTTTTCTGCAGTTCGTTATCCTCTAAGTTCTGAATCTTATCCAAAACCTGTTACAACTTAAACTTCTGGCTCCCACTCTTAAGGACTTGCTGTTTCATCAGATCTTCCTTCTCCATTTTTCCATCAGTGAAACCTAAAATAAATTCAAAATCATAAGAATGTAAGAGCAAACCTAATGTTCTGTATCATGGCATAATTTTACTTAGAGAAACCAAAATATCTGAAGGTGAGTTGTTCAAATCTTAAGTGACAACAGTTAACTTACTATGAGCAATAGAAAAAAAATTTAAATATTAGAACAAGTGCTACAAAAGAATGGACATTTTGGGACAGAAACTTTCTGTATTGGTAAATCTGCCACCCTTCTGAATAATAAATGATTTGATTTTACTTCCACAAGAATCACTATTGTGCTCCTCTTTGGCGACTTTTGGGGAATTGTTACAGTTTTGGTTAGAGTGGAAAGCACTTATACATAAATGAATTCTTTGATTAATAAAAGTATTTTATAATTTTATATGTATGCTTACCTGAGATGTTACATTACAAAACATCATTACTGGCTGGGCGCAGTGGCTCATGCCTGTAATCGCAGCACTTTGGGAGGCCAAAGCAGTCAGATCACCTGAGGTCGAGAGTTTGAGACCAGCCTGACCAACATGGAGAAACCCCATCTCTACTAAAAATACAAAATTAGCCAGGCGTGGTGGCACATGCCCGTAATTCCAGCTACTCGGGAGGCTGAGGCAGAAGAATCACTTGAACCTGGGAGGCAGAGGTTGTGGTGAGCTGAGATCGCACCATTGCACTCCAGCCTGGGCAACAAGAGTGAAACTCCGCCTCAAAAAAAAAAAAAAAAAATCATTACTTCATAATAAAGTTTCAAAATAAGCAGAAGTATGTATTTGCCTCACTTTGACAGGTCTCATTAGTTCAGGGACTCCTTTTTATATTAACTTTCAGATATGATTCCTTGTCAGGATAGAATGTTTGTGTAAAAATCTAACTCCAAAACTCAAGTAGAAATACTATTTTTACAAACTATACTCCACATCAAGATATATGTATTGTGTCCCAATGCATGGTAGAGTTCCTTATTACTTTTGACTATGTTTATACATGTGAAATCCACCCCACCATTGCCTCTTTCTTCATTCTGACCATCCTAACCCTAACCATCGGTGTGTTCTGCTGTGTGATTGATTTGGCTTCCATAATTGATTGTTATTGATTGGCCAGAATGAATGGCTCAAGCTCACATTGTGTTCCAACTCATCAACAGAGTATAGTTAACATCTACTTTGGAGCACAATTTGACTTAATTATTAAATATTGCATTTTAGCAATTGGCCGGAAAGGGGTTTATTTCTACAAGCTCAAATCTACTGCTAATTTTAAAGAAAAACTTCAGACTATAGAAACTTCAGATCCATGTCTAAACACAGCAAATAAGCCAGTCATGGTGCCTCATGCCTATAATTCCAGCACTTTAGGAGGCTGAGGCAGGTGGACCACTTGAGCTTGGGAGTTCGAGACCACCCTGGGCAACATAGTGAAACCTCATCTCTACCAAAAATACAAAAAATTAGCCAGGTGTGGTGGCATGTATCTGTAGTCCCAGCTAGTCAAGAGCCTGAGGTAGGAGGATCACTTGAGCCCGGGGGGTCCAGGCTGCAGTGAGCCGAGAGATCACGCCACTGCACTCCAGCCTGGGTGAGAGAATGAGATCTTGTCTCAAAAACAAAAGCAGAAGTAATAACAACAACAACAACAACAAAAAGGAATAAATGCACCTGATCAAAAAAAGGAGAAAAAAAGAAAAAGTTATTAATTTAAAATGCATTTATTTACCCTACTTTGTTATAGTTTGCTCTATGTTAATGTATATATATTTTAAGTCATTCTTTAGCATTCACCATCTTTACGAACATACTTTTGAAAATGGGTAACAAACTCTCTTAAAACTGCTAATGGAAGATGCCAAAGAAGAAGAGGACTCCTTGCCTCCAAACGTGGGAGAAGGCCTTAGAGTCTCCTTCGGTAACTGAGAAGCAGAATACTCCCATTGTATGAGGTTGCTTGGCAGTTGCAGCTGTCACTCAGACTTCTTATCCACACCAAGCACTTCCAAATACAGGAAAGAAATTAGACTTTGTTTCTCTACCCTATTTGGATAATAATTAAATGTTTCAACTAGAAACCTCTTCACTCTGGCATCTGAAGCATCATCTTAGTGTCAACTTCTCTTGAAAAGGGCACACACACATACACATGCATGTACTCATACTTGCTATTTTCTTTGCCAAAATGTTTACTATGTTATGGGAAAAAACTTTTTCTCTTTTCTTGAAATAAAATTAATTTCTTTTGTTTGTGCTTTCCTTCAAAATGTCAATTTGAACATTTTTCACTACTCTTCTGAAACAATTATTCTCTTTAAATCACAATTTTTACTAAAAAGCCTCTTTGCTTGAGAGATTTGGACACTAAAAGGGAAAATAATTACTTCAAAAGCTACGTGTAAATAGAAGACGATTTGTAAGCATCCCACGTGAAATTAAAAGCCCCCATGCCTATCAGACCTTGGGAAAACTAAAGGACCTTCACACCCCATAATAGAACTTAGAAACAGTAAGTGCCTCTTACTACTTTTGAGCCTGCATTTCAGCCACAATAAAGTCAACTAGTCAAACGAGTATTAACAACACATTTAAAAGCATTGCAAAAATTATAAATATCTACTATTTCGTTGGCTATTCCAACCTAGACACTATTTTCAAAATTGTGAAAGAGTAGTGTTGCCATTACTAATTTGATCAATATACCCACCTCTGCAGATTATTAAAAATAAAAAAAAAATGAGTCCAGGTAGACTGGTTAATAGGAAAGTATTAAACTGTTAATTACAGGACAATACATAAGAAACATTGTGTTTTTATTAAGCCAAACATAGATGCTTATAGTTACATATACATCTAACACTTTCTGTCTGTCTCAATTTATCTGATGCTCAAATCACCTTGTGTGCACTGTACACCATATTGTAGCTTCTCAAGTGTTGGAGTACTTGAGACTGTCATGTGCTTTCATTTAAATTTTTTAAAATTCATGGACATTTAATATATATAAAATATACCAATGCTAGGCAGGAGTCACCTGGTATTTGAAAATCATAATCAACCAGGCACAGTGGCTCACATCTGTAATCCCAGCACTTTGGGAGGTCAAGGTGGGCAGCACTTTGGGAGGTCGAGGTGGGCAGGTCACCTGAAATAAGGAGTTCGATACCGTCTGGCCAACATGATGATACCCCGTCTCTACCAAAAATACACAAATTAGCCAGGCGTGGTGGCATGTGCCTGTAATCCCAGCTACTCAGGAGGCTGAGGCAGGAGAATCACTTGAATCCAGGAGGCGGAGGTTGGCAGTGAGCCAAGATCACGCCACTGCACTCCAGCCTGGGCAACAAGAGCAAAACTTTGTCTCAAAAAAAAAAAAAAAAAGCGAAAATCATAATCAATACGTTGAAATGCTGAAGCTCAAATTCAGAGAATAGTAGATGAAAACAAGCTAAAACATATAGCATAACAAAAGATTAACTTGGCAGTGGATTTACCCTATACCAGTGGTTCTCAAAGCACGGCCAGAGAACCACAGGGTTTCCTAAGACTCTTTAAAGGTTTCAAAAGATCCAAACTATTTTTATAATAAACCAAGATGCTAATTTCTCTGTTTCACTCTCATTCTCTCACAAGTGTACAACAGAGTTTTCCAGAGTTTAATGTGTAAGATTATAACAGAATGTTTAGAGAAACAAACCTAAGAATCTAGCTTTCTATTAAGCCACACAATAAAGAAATTCATACAAATTTAAAACAATGCTGTATTAGTACCTTTTGTGTTGCTTATAGCAGAATACCTAAAAACTTATTTTAAAGGAAGTTTATTTAGCTCATGGTTCCACAGACTGAGAAATTCGAGGGCATGGCCCTGGCTTCTGGACAGGACTTTCATGCCACATCACAACATGGTGGAGAAGGGCAATGGGAAAGTAGACATGTGTGAAGAGGAGAAAACCGAAGGGCATCCTGGCTTTATAACAACCCACTACCACAGGAACTAATTCATTTACATGAGAACTAAATCAATCTTTCAAGATTGAGAACTCAGCCAGGCGTGGTGGTGTATGCCTGTAATCCGAGCTACTCAGAGGGGGATGAACTGGAAGGATCCTTTGAGCCCAGGAGTTCAAGGTTGCAGTGAGCTATGATTGTACCCCCATGCTCCAGCATGGATGAGAGAGTGAGACCCTGTGTTTAAAAAAAAAAAATGGAGTGAGAACGCACTACTACCAGAACAGCACAGAACCATTAACGGGGAATCCACCTTCATAACCCAAATACCTCCCACTAGGCCCACTTCCCAACACTGGCACATTGAGGATCAAATTTCAACATGAGTTTTGGTGGGGACAAACAAATTTTATCCAAACCATAGCAAATGTCGCTCATTTTTTTGTTGTTTTGAAAAAGTTATTTCTTATTAAAATATGCCATTTGTGTCAAGATGCAATGGGATTATTACTGTCACTTTAGAGTGAATTAGTAATTAAATACTTTAAAAATTTTCTATTTTAATTTCTAATATAAATATTGAGAGCTATGACCCACATTAACAAAAGCTTTCTTTTTTGGCGGGGGGTGGGGGGTTATTCTCAAAAATTTCCTAGCATGTAAAGAAATCCTGAGACCAAAACATTTGAGAGTGTTATTTTATAGCATTGGAATCTCAATTTATTTCTAAAGCCTCAGTTACTAGTGCTACCAGAATAAACATTAGAGTGGCACTTCTTATAAAATTCTCCCAAATTACAATTTGGAAAGATTAGATCCATATTTCTTGTATTGATTATCAACAAAATACAGTGAACAGAGTAATTTTAAATATAGGATTTAATATGATTAATTCCACCTGGTCCATTCCTGGACAGCCACTCTTCCTGAGGACCTAGCTTTGCCATTCAATGCCATTCTGCTAGGAGGCATATTGCTTGGTGTATATTACGTGCCCAAAAAGTGTTTACTGACCATTTGTTTTAAACCTGCTTCCTCATTAAAGTCTATTTGACTAAATTACTAAGTTTATTCCTTGTTTTGACTTCATAATTATCATGATGGTCAGCAAATCAAGGTTAACAGGCATTGGTGTAGTGGTCAACCTAGTACCCCCCAGAACTATCCTGGTTAAGCTTAAATCCTTACTCTAACACTTGCTCTTGTGTGAATGTGAACAAGTGCTTAAACTTCTCTGCACCTAAATTACCTCATCTGAAAATTATGAATACAAATAATACCTTCTAACGACTTTGTTATGCAGATTAAATAAACTAACACTTGTAAAAAAAACTGAAAACTGAGCTTAATAAATAATAAATGCTATATAAGGATCACTAAGTAAAATATCACCTAACTTCAACTGCTGCTCAGAACAAGTGCATGGATAAATGTGATTTGGTTATCAGAGAAGCTTCCCAGAGTTTTGATATTTAAATAGATTCAGATGCCTGAACTCTTAATTCCCACTGCTAAAAGTTAAGAGTAGCAGGTTAAACATGAGCAGCAACCATAAACACACTGAAATACTGAAAGGAGAAAGGCCATAAAGCCTCACAATGTGGACACAAAATCTTATTAGATGCACCATAGAGAAACCCAAACATATTCAACTAACAAAAATGAAATTAAACAATCAATTTCAGCAAGAAAATAGAAAGTTGGGCCAAGTCTTATACCTGAGTTTATTTTTAATTGATATGAATGACAGCATAGTTTTTAAATTATCACCTTAGTAGTGTCTTTACAATTCTAGCTACTCTTTAGAAAGTGTCCAAAAATAATGAACACATAGAATCATGTAATGCAGCCTAGCTAAAAGCAAAGAAAGAATTAGACACTTTCTAGAACACTCACCCCTTGGCTTCTGCAATTTCATGTGGGTTGATTTTCCAACTTATATTTTCCAACAAGATGAAATCCCTCTTCTACTTGCCAGACTCTAAGTCCCAAAGACGCAGACATATGCAGAATGGATGGACCGTCCTCACCAACATTGGAGTGTGCTCAATTTCCTGCAGTTTCATTGTCATCGTGCCAAATATCCCAGCCTCTGAGCTTGTTTATGATGAATGACAATGAATAACTTCCAATTTTCTTTATAGCTTTGTTTTGTTCTTTTCCTTTAAGCTTATCTGAATTCAAATAACTAAATAGGATGAAACATGTTACCAGAAAAGTTTTGTTTAATGAGCTCTGATACCACATCTCTTCATCTATTCACATTTCACTCAAATGGAATAAGATCCAGAAAATATAAGTTAAAAGACATAATTGAAAAAAAAACAGAAATGGGAATTTCTCTTGAAATGGATTACGGACTAAAACTTGCTAGAACTTTGTCACAGAAACATATTCTAGCAATGGGATGGAAAATCCTCTGGTCTGTTCCATCTCAAATGGTCACACTAGAAGGAAAGGTGCATCTATTCCACAGAGCTCACTGTTGAAGAAGCTAATTTAACTTCACGATAATATTCATCTGATGTTATCAGTAGGAAGCAACATATTGGTCTTTAGATAAATAAAATACAATAATAAATAAAGAGCTAAACATTGTTCTTCAGATGTAGTTCTTTAAAGCAATGAATTTTAAAAATCTGAAATGGAAATACAAATATTGAAGTACCTGCAAACTTAGAAAAAAAATCAAGCTTTGAGATTTGCAAACAAAATGCTTGAAATGAATTATGAAGTCCCAACATGTAGCTTTTCCCTGTGGATGTTTAGGCAGGAAAATTCCAAGTAAGGAAAGTCCATTTCTGTGATAACCATCAAATGTCTTTCGGCTTATCTTATTTATGACCAGAGGCCTTGCCATTCAACACTGAGTGTCATTCTATTTAGGGTTCCACAGTGGTGAGCTGCCATGCTTGGGGAGACGCAGCCCATAATAGCTGCTGGAGCAATAAAGGGACATCTTATGGAGAAGTTTCTCATCCCTTAGCTCTGGTACTGTTGCCCGCACAGCATCTGTCTCCTCCTTAGTCTTGTTACCACACTGAAATTGCTTTGCTTTGTTTCCATGCCAAACTGGAAAAGCTCTCAATCATTTCTCCTGCCATGTCTATAGGAAAATAGAAGCAGGCCAATCATGCCATTATGACATTGCATGACAGGCAAGGTCCATTTTACAAAGCAGTACCATAAAATGAAAAGCTTTGAACCCCCTTCCGCCTCTTACTCTTATCCTTAAAGCCAAACTAAAGTAAACCTGCAGCATTTCTGCATTTTACTCACTTTTATCAATATTATGGAAAACAGGCTTCAACACCAAATATGACCAAAGATGAAAGAAAGCTATCATTTATTGAGGGGAAAAGAAAAACTGTTTAAGTTAACAGTGATGGGCAAATTAAAGAGAATTTATTTAGCTATAGAATAATTAACCAAAATGTCTTATTAAATATCTGAAATAAAAATACTGAGGGCCGGCCGAGCACAGTGGCCCACGCCTGTAATCCCGGCACTTTGGGAGGCTGAGGCGGGCCGGATCACCTGAGGTCAGGTATCGATACCAGCCGGGCCAACATGGTGAAAGCCCGTCTCTACTAAAAATACAAAAATTAGTCGGGTGTGGTGGCGGGCGCCTATAATCCCAGCTACTCTACTCGGGAGGCTGAGGCAGAAGAATCGCTCGAACCCGGGAGGCAGAAGTTGCAGTGAGCCGAGGTCGTGCCACCACACTCCAGCATGGGCAAAAAGAGTGAGACTCCGTCTCAAAAACAAACAAACAAACAAAAAACAAACAAACAAATAAACAAAAACACTGAGGGCATGGATATGAACTAACCAAGAAAATTATAAAAAGAGTAGAAATGTTCTCATATTTCAGTTTAGCAGCAGGTTCGCATTCCCTTGTTAAAGAAGCATTTGCACTTCTGGGCTTGTGAATTAAGTGTGGAGAGGCCAGGATCTGCAGCTGAACATTTCTGGATTGGGCAGCTATATAGGAAAAAAAAGATTTCCTTCAAGCTCAACAATTTCTGTCCTCTGAATAGGGCAAATGTGTCTGAGCACATTCAAAATGTCCCTTTGCCTTAAAATGTGAGAAAATCACATTGTAATAGCAGAGAGAGGAATCTGGAGCATATTCACACATGGAATAATATCATTTGCTGACGTCAAGGTCGTGTCTAAGAGCCTACTACTTAGAATACTTGGAAGAGAACAAGTAGAAAGGTAAAGATTATCCAATGGAAAGGATGTTCCTCAAACTCTTTATGTATTCATTTCTCTTCTTGGGGAAGGAAAAATCAGTAATTTATTACGAATGCAGCATTCTCAGAGGTTTCTCCAGTTTTCTGAAGAAACAGAAATTTTCCAAAGCACTGCAGTTTATTTAAATTCTATTAAATGTCTGGTAAAATCATGAATAATATAAATATAAATAATATGCATGTGCAATAATATCTATATAATGTATCAAGAAAAAAGATTTGTGAGTATTTTCAAAGAAGTCAGGATGGTAACTTAAATTTCGAATATTGTATGTGGGAAGATATAACCAGGTGGACATACACTTTAATTAGCTAATAATATCTGTGAAAAAATTACTAGTTGATAAAATGGAGATTTGTTTTTATTGAACGTATAATAGTCAATTTAATATATAAACAGTGTAAATTGTGTAATAATACAAAAGCCTCTATTTTATACTTTCTCAATTTTTCACAACTGTACTAACACATGATAAGAAAAAATTACGCTTTTCACTTTACCAGTAAAGAAACTGAATATCCAAGAAAATAAAGTAACTTATTTAGAGTAACAGAAGTCGTAAATCACCAAATCAAGAGGAACATTTGGGACTTTAGCTTCCATTTAGAAGCTCTGCTAAATTATACCTTTTGATGTTGCTTCCCTATGTTAAATTTAAAAGATGTTTTGATCACTTAAGACAATAGTTTGTATGTATATATCTAAGTATTTATATATTCATACATAAAATTTACATATATTTATATACATAAGTGTATATACGATAGTTTGTAAGTATATAAGTATTTTTATATATAACTGTAGATTTATAGGTAATGTATTTTTTACATAGTACTATCGATTTATATACAATTTATATTATATATATATATATAAATCCTAATGGAATAAGTCACGTGTTGTTTTCTATTGGTCATATGTTAGCACAAGAATAAAACTCTACAAGGGAAAAATAGGAACACAAACTGAACCTTCAAATATAAGGAAACTTTATTACGCAGATTTTTTTGGCGCTCCTGAGATGTCTGCAGTGTTAATACCCTCCAGGTCAGGTATATTTAATGGCCGTTGGGATCAAGTGCCCTTAGTCTTGCCTGAGGCCCTCAGTTCTTCACCCAGACATTAACTGACAGAGACTGAGCAGCTCAGAAAACACTTTTACATGATAGAAGTGCTCAGTCAATAGAAGCTTCTCTACTAATGGATATACAGCACATTAGTGAGATATCCACCTACAGTTTTAATGACCTGAATCCAATCTTCTCACACTGTAAACCTATTTGAACTCTGAAAATAAACATGGGGTCAGATTTTGTTGCATGTATCAACACCAAACTTTGATTTAACAAAATCGTATTGAATAGCTACTTAGTTCTCTATATAAGGCTATATGAGGACACATAGAATGAGAATGTTTATATTTTGTTGTTCTGTAGAATGTATATCTTACCTTCTGTTATTTTCTCCAGAAACGTTTCTATCTTGGATAAAAAAGAAGGGACATAAAGTGTAAATAATATTTCTAAAGTAGCTTTTAACTCTATTTGTTTATATCAATTTCATCATCCCAACTTAGTGTATAACAATCTTAATATCATACTGTAAATTCTCCCCGGGGCCTGAAAGCTTAAGGAGATGAATAACTCCTCCCTTCTCAGGCCCAGTCCCAAGGCGCAACTTGTGCCAGCAGCCCGCGCCAGCAGCCTGCACCAGCAAAATAGCAGTAGCAAGAAGAGAGCCAGCAGAAGACACCTACCCTGGCCGGAAGACGCGTACCCCTGAAGATTGAGGAAGAGGCCATCCGGGTACAACGTAGCAGTTACGTCAGACTAAGACACTTCCTGTTTATAGGAGACTATAAAACCTTTGCCCTGTCCTCACTAGGGGCTGACACCATTTTAGTCCTCAGACCGCCTGCACCCAGGCGCTCATTAAAACAGCATGTTGCTTCCACCGCCTCATGTTGTCTGTTGGCGCGCTCTCGGGGTTCGAACCAGTACAAGAACCTTAGATATATGATACTGCACCTAATAAAAATAGTCTAAAATAACAACAGCCAATATAGGCACAAACCTGAAAGTGTCTGCATAGAAGTAACACATCCATGTACTTGATAAACTAAAGTGTAGATATTTTATGCGGAATAAACTTTGAAGTGAGGAATACCACTTGAATGTCAGCCTGTTCTTTGTGAGAAAACAATTATCCCTTCTCTTCAAAGAGTCAGGAAGGATTTACTAACAAAATAGTATACCAAGGACTGTGTGAACAGTGAAATTCAGAGGACGTGAGACCGTGGTCCTGGGAATAAATTGAAATGCATGCAATTTTGAGCAGATTTGAGAACGGTGTCCTCATTTCTTGTATATCCCCACATGACTGGTTGCACCAGCTGTACCATTTCTGTCACTGGTTTACTCATCTCCCTTTACACTATCTTGCTCCATGCTTTGCAGTGCCTGAGGCTGAAGCTCATGACTGATCATGTGCCTCTATTCCCTAGGAGTTTTACCAATGAATGCCATCTCTCCTGTTTTAAAGATGTGCAAGTAAAATCAACCAACGTAACACCTGAAGACAATAGATTCTCTAAAATGAATCTTTTAAAACAAGAGAAGTGATGTGAAGATGGAATGAGGAACGGATGGAGGCACTGTGCTCTGATCCTGTATTTTTATGTATAGAGCAAAGCTACACTGGTTGCTCAACCTAATTTCAAGGTAATGTTGCTTGCAGCTTGCTGAATTCAGCAAAACCAAATAAATAGAAACCTTTTCCTGACCCATAGGGAAAGAAACGGCACCACTGACTACATTCTCAGTGTTAATTATTTTCCACATATATTTATCTTTAATCCCTTGGTATCTGTTACTGCATATCCTCCAGGAAACATTGGTGTTAGTAAAATTCACAGAGATCTTATAAAAATAACAATAGCAAACCCTCATAATATTAATTCTAACATTTGTTGAGAACTTTCTCTTTTCCATGCTCTACATGCATTAGCTCATCTAGAACACTCATAATTATTGAACATATATAGAAAATATAAATACATTTATCTTCATTATATCAGTGAGAAAAGCTGAAGTTTAATGACTACAGTAGTTAAAGTAACACTAGCTGCTAGAACAGATAAGCCCCGAAATCTGAGCAGCTAAAATATACATTTATTTATTTTTCTTACACATAACTGTTCGATGAGAGTGCTGAGTGGATGGTCTGCCATGTAATGATTCAAGACTCAAGCTCTTTATTGTCATAGCTCCATTATCTTTAGCACTTGGCTTCCAAGGTCACTGTGGAAGAGGAAGAAAGAGGAAAGGAGGCACACTTACTTCTTAATCATGTGAACCAAGAAATAACACACTTTATTCCTGCTCACCTTCCATTAGTGAGAGCTGGTCACATAGCTCCCTAGAGATGCAAAGATGATTAGGAAATTGAGTCCATGACTGGGAAGCCTGTGCTTAGCAACATCTCCACACAATGGGTGATGATACAAATTTTGATGAACAGTTGGCCATTTCTGCCAGAGAGAGAATGAGCTACTTTCCTAACAGCCCCCTTTAGTAAGCAGTAAAATTGGAATTTGAACTCACCTCTGAATCCAGATTTGAGCTCCTACTCAGAATGCCACGCTTCTGAAAAGACCGCTCATGGTTCATGGGCTCCTCTACTGCCCTGCACATAAGCCTTTGTGATTGTGACTGTGTATAGTATAGTGAAACTACAATGTATATTTCATGGCATTCTACAAAGAGCCTCATTACTTTCTAAAATTCTGCCACCAAGAAGTTCTGGAGAACTTGGCCAGGTGCCATGGCTCATGCCTGTAATCCCAGCACTTTGGGAGGCCAAGGCGGGTGGATCACAAGGTCAGGAGATCGAGACCATCCTGGCTAACATGGTGAAACTCCGTCTCTACTAAAAATACAAAAAATTAGCCAGGCGTGGTGGCGTGCGCCTTCAGTCGCAGCTACTCAGGAGGCTGAGGCAGGAGAATGGTGTGAACCCGGGAGGCGGAGCTTGCAGTGAGCCGAGATGGTGCCACTGCACTCCAGCCTGGGTAACACAGCAAGACTCCATCTCAAAACAAAAAAAAAAAATGTTCTGGGGAACTTGTGAGATGGTGGGTAGTTGTATTAGTCAGGGTTCTCTAGAGGGACAGAAATAATGGAATATATATATATATATGAATCTATTAAGTATTAACTCACACGATCACAAGGTCCCACAGTAGGCCATCTTGAGGCTGAGGGGCAAGGAGAGCCAGTCCAAATTCCAAAACTAAAGAATTTGTCCAATGTTCGAGGGCAGGAAGCATCCAGCATGGGAGAAAGATGTAGCTGGGAGGCTTGGCCAGTCTCTCTTTTCACATTTTTCTGCCTGCTTATATTCTAGCCCTGCTAGTAGCTGATTAGATTGTGCCCACCCAAATTAAGTGTGGGTCTGCCTTTCCCAGCCCACTGACTCAAATGTTAATCTCCTTTGCAATACCCTCACAGACATACCCAGGATCAATACTTTGTATCCTTCAATCAAATCAAGTTGACACTTAGTATTAACAATCAGAGTAGTTATGTTCTAGGATTTGAATGGAGTCACAAAAAGACATCATTTTCGATATTCAAAGACTACAATTTTCAGCACCTATGGCGTTTTAGTAGAGAAAAGAATCTAAATGTACAATTTGCCAAGTCAAATATTATTCAATTTTACTTTATCTTTTTGCTATATCAGTCTCATTTAATAGAGTCATGAGCAGCCTGAAACAGAACTGTTTATCTTACTACAAGCTTTTCAAATATAAAATTTCACAGAGGCAAGCTCTTTATAAAATTTTAGTATTGGAGATAACTGCCCTCTATGAATATGTTTCTATTGGTCATGTCTAAGCTCACCAGAATAAAAAAAAAATACACAAAAGAAAAATAACTGGCCTTCTACTGTCCAACAGCAATGGAGAACTGTAGAAATTCTAAAAAGATAGAAAATGTACAAAAATGAGAAAGATAATAGTAATCCCTTTCCCTATGTTCTGTATACAAAATACCCTGACAGGATTTTTGTACATATATTGCTAAGTAAACTGAACCTCCCTAAAACTGTAAACCAAATAAAATTGTTATTTAGCTCTTAATGCAACTAATTGAATTATATATTTATTCATTCAACAATATATGGGATAGGATGACAGACAGGATGAGCTGACTGACAGCCTCTAAGAGCAGTGTTTTGCTATTTCCAGGCTCTCTTACATGAGAATGTAATTATAATTTCTAAATCAAATGCACAATAATCTACACTTATTTTTAATTCATTTGGAAAGGTCAAATGTAAAATCTATAAATCACTCCTCATACTGTTTTCCTAAAATGTGAAAAATGGAGAGAAACACAAAATTATAGGTAGAAAATTAGCCCTTTTGACAACTAATATAGCACAGTTATCTATTATATTCAGCAAATACTTACTGAGTACTCCCTAGGTGCTGTACATTGTGTTAGGGTCCAAAATTTTGAATAATATGTCATTTTTCTCTTTAAGGTGCTTATAATGCAGTTGGGGAAAATATATGCATTGATTCTTCAGAAAACAAATTACACAAATAACATCCGCTAATACAACTTTTCTTATAGTTTACCAGTGGCCAAATTTGGGAAAGGATTATATATTTCTATCATCTTTCTAGAGGTCTGAAAGAGAATAATTAAACTAAATCCACTGAAAAATAGACAATAATCAAAATATTAGGAATTAAGTTGAAGTTCTTTATTGTATTGAGTTACAGCATGTGATTGATTACGGTCCCATCATCCCTACAAGTTCCCGTCATTCCTAAGATATGAGATTTCAAAAGGAGCTACACAAACATGAGAGAGCAACAAATCAGAAGTTTAATTACCATGTTATTATAATTATTCAACTGTCCATAACTCCTAATTAAACCCTAAAATAAATCTGGATTGAAGTGATTAATTTAGAGGAAAGGAAATGCTCTTCTTTGGCCTTAAGTTTAAGTTCTCATTTCCCCCCTAACAGGCTGCTGAGCCCAAATTAATGAGAAATCCAATGTATGAAAGCAATGGTGTGAAGTCAAGATAGCTCATCATGCCGCAAAAAGTTAGGCCAACTCCATTTGTTCTTTTTACAATGTAAGTAAGGGATTGAAAGAGACAGAGAGTGGGGCTGTCATGTCAACTTACAACATGGAAGCAAGAAACAAAAATGATAGAGCTTCATTCATGTGTAATACTTTGTGACAGATTTAACTCCCAACTATAAATTGGGCCTAATTTGTGTCTTTAAATCTGGCCAAAGTAGCAATTCGTAGGTGTGGTGGATAAGCAGAAGCAATGTGATGAGGGTAAAGGATGGCTCTATAGAGAAGAAAGAACTTTCCTCAAATTCTGTTATCCTCCTCATTTTAGAAAGTGATGCCAAGTTTCCACCGTCCCTTGCTTGTTTAAAAAATTTTTCACCATGATATGGTGACATTATAAAACCATCCAAAGAAAAGTCCAGATATATTGAACTCAATTAAAATAGCAACTCCTCTTTGGGAGGGTGAAGGGAACAACAGTGAGGTGAGGAGAGTGAGTCAAGTGGGTGATTTTCAAACCACCACATGTAATAACATGTGATTCTCATGATATATGTTAAATCTTTGTCTAGTATAACAAATTTAGAAAACTACTTATAACTACTACAAGTAGATAATAGATACTGCTAATTTGGGAGAAATGAGTAAAGATATCCAAAATCTAATACATTGTTCATCAATACATTCTGAAAGAAGCCTGGCAATAATGCGAATATTATTATAATATATGAACCATGCTCAAATGGTAACTAGCACAATTGCTTTCAAAGCCAACCTATGAAATTATGACACTTCACATAATTTATAAACAATTTCTTATGGGTTCATTTTGCTTTGTTTCTTTCCAGATATATTTTTTTACATTTCTTTCTCTATTATCTTATACAGTACTTCCAATTTTGTACAACTGTTGCTGCCTGTGAACCATAATATAAGTAGTAATAAAAATAGTTTCAAAGAGCAAGAGCACATTTTCATTCAGAAGATCAAACAATTCATCAGTACCCCTCCTTTCTGAATACTTAACAAGAGTTCAGTAGTCCTTCCTTATCTGCAGTTTCGCTTTCTGAGGTTTCAGTTATCAGCAGTCAATCATGGTCCAAAAGTATGAAATGGGAAATTTCAGAAATAATTTTTTTTTTGAGACGGAGTCTTGCTCTGTCACCCAGGCTGGAGTGCAGTGGTGTGATCTTGGCTCACTGCAACCTCCAACTCCCTGGTTCAAGCGATTTTCCTGCCTCAGTCTCCCAAGTAGCTAGGATTACAGGTATGCGCCACCACGCCCAGCTGATTTTTTTTTTTTTTTTTGTATTTTTAGTGGAGACGGGGTTTCACCATGTTGGCCAGGATGGTCTTAAGCTCCTGACCTCATGATCCACCCGCCTTGGCCTCTCAAAGTGCTGGGATTACAGGCATGAACCACCGTGCCCGGCCCAGAAATAATAAGTTTTCAGTTGCATGTGCTGCAGGGTAGTGTGATGAAATCTCATGCCATCCCACTTTGTCCCACCCAGGACATGGATCATCCCTTTGTCCAGGGTATCTACACTGTAGATGCTCCCTGCTCATTAGTCACTTAGTAGCTGCCTTGGCTAACACATCAACTGTAAAGTTATCACAGTGCTGTGATTTATGTCATTAGTAGCCTAATGCTCCATCATAATGCCTGCGTTATTCAACTCACTTCCTATCTCAGCACGTATGCATTATATTACTGTGCATCATCACGAGAAGGGTGAGGTCAATACAGATATTTCGAGAGAGCAATCACATTCATATAACTCTTACTGTACTATATTATGATAATTGTTGTATTTTATTATCAAGTATTGTTGTTAATCTATTACTGTGCCAAATTTATAAATTAAACTTTATCATAGTACGTATGTATTGGAAAAAGCATAGTGTATATGGGATTTGGTGCTATCCGCAGTTTCAGGCCTCCACTGGGAGTCTTGAAATGTACCCCCGTTGATAAGGGGGGACTATTGTGTTCCATTTGCTTGGAAGAAAGTGATGTAGATATTTGTTATCCTACCACCTGCTGCCTGATTCTTTCCATCCACCATTTTATGAATTTAAAGAAATCGTTGCTACCACATAGTTCACTGATTAAGACAGGATTTCAGATCTGGCCAAAGTACATCTCAAAATGGTTAGACCCTGTATATTGGCTAAGGGAACCATATTGGAGAGAAGGGCACTGCTGTTCTACCTTGTCTAGTGAAGAATGAAAGAGGGGTCTCTGAGACTGACAGAGAGGGAAAAGTGAGGAGAGGAAGCAAGCTTATTGCCTGCAGGACTCACTATGTGTTAGAACAACATCCCTCTTACCTCAGGATTTTATCCTATGAAGGATATGAGAATAAGGCTATTTAAGTTTTTTTTAATGCATTGAGCTGTTTTTCTCCCACTCTAAACCTCCAAGGCCCTGTCATGACTAGGCACATACAGAACACTGGGGTGACTGACAGCCTGTCTCTGAACTCGGGGGAGTGGCAGCACAGGGTTCAGCTTCAACATGGAGGCTCTTTCCAAGCCTCAGGGCTTTGCTCACTTGTCAGTATCCTCAATAGCCTATCCCTATTAAGCAATAAGTAATGTTACTTATTGCTTAATGAAAAAACAGATTGCTCTGCCTAGCATCTAATAGTTGTTAATATCCTAATAGCATTAACATATGCAATATTGAGCTGAATTGTAAGGCTGACAAGAGCCTACATGTGTGAAAATGTAATTACAGTGGGAGTTTAATGATAAACCACAACAGTTTCTTTTTGCTTTAATAAACTGTCAGGTACTACCAAATAAAGCACATGCAATTAAGAGAAGCAACAGGATCTTGGGCTGAGCGACAGGAGTGATGGAAGAAATAGAACCTCCGTATCCCCGAAATAGCTTACACACACTGCTAATACTAACAGCTGCTGAACTCTGGTCAGCAGGAATGTCAACCTCCTGATTCATTCATCTGGTGTATGGCATTTTGATTTCTCAAAGAAAGGTGCGATATTTTCAACTATGATAAATTACCTTAGACATCCAAATGGCTCATTAAATTCCACCTATTATTTCTGGGTTTCCCTCAGTAACTGTTTAAAGAGGTTATTTATAAATCACTTTTTATTTGTTTTCTTCAAAGGCAGGAAATCCCTTTATTTCCTGGGACTTTCAACTATGATTTTTAGAACAGATGGGGAACGCAATGAATTTGGGACAGTGCACGCATAGGGTAGAACTATGCTGCCCAATGGGGAATGGCAGAGGATTTAGAGAGCAGCAGATCCGAGTTCATATCCCAGCTCTGCAATTTAACAGCTGGGTGGCTTTGGATGGGTTACTTCAACCTCTTTGATATTCCATTTCCTGATTTATAAAATGAGGATATTAGTTAATAATACCTACTTTACAAGATTGTTATGAGAAACAAATTAAATAGTGTATGAAATATTTGATTTGGTACAATTCCTGCCACCTATTCTGTACTCAATATATGTAATTATTATTATAGATAATTATCATAGCATTAGCTGCCATGCATATATGTATTTTCCTTCCTCTCTACTCTTGACACATTTAGTAGAACTTATTCCCTGCAGCCAGATGAAATGATAAAATCATACAGCACCTGCACAGACAGAACCACTGTAATTATATAGGGTCTAACTCTATTATTGGACATGCGAGGAAACTAAGTTGATCTAAATTCATATATTTAATTACAATTTAGTTAAACATAAGCTAAGCACCAGGCTCTGAAATAGGAACCCAAGATACAAACATGAGTACAACAGAGTCCCTATTCACCTGGAATTCAACATTTTTACAGAGAAGCAGGCAGGTAGAGTCAAGTAAGAAATGAACCACCAAAGGCAAGTTCCTACTGCCACTCTAACACCAAGGAGGAAGAGTTTCTCTTAGCAGTCTGAAAAGCTGCTACAGAGAAGGTGACATTTGCCCTGTTTTCAAAATCCACGTAGAAGAGAGAATCTAAAAAGAAAATCAGAGAAGAATATAGATAAATTAACTAATAAAATTATGTATAATTATGTATAAAACATTATTAGCCATTAAAACCCCTACCAGACACCACTACATAACTATTGGATGGCTAAAATAATAAATAAATAGATAAATAACAACTACAATTCCAAGTATTGGCAAGGTTATTGAGCAACTAGATTTTTCACACATTGCTGGTGAGAATGCAAAATGGCATAGCTTATTTCAAAAAATAGTTTATCAATTTCTCATGAAGTTAAACATGTACTTAACAAATGACACAATCCTAATCCTAGGAATTTTCCCCAGTGAAATGAAAAAGTATGTTCATAAAAAAAATCTTTCTTGAACTTTTATACTAAGTTTATTCATAATGTCCAAAAACTGAAAACAACTCAAATATCCTCATTACATCAATAGATAACCTGTGATACAGTCTCACAATGGATACTAGTCAGCAATAAAAATGAATGAACTATTGATACACAAAATAATGTGAATGAATCTGAAGTAGAGTATGCTAAGTGAAAGAAGCTAGACCCAATACATTGGTAATGTATGATTCTATTTATATAGCATACTGGAAAAGGCAAAAACATAGGGAGAGAAAACAAATCACTGGTATCCATGGGGTGGGAGGAGGCACTGATTCTAAATGAACACAATGGAAGACTCAGAAGGGAGAGGGTGTGAGGAGTGTGAGGGATGAAAATTACCTATTGGATATAATGTACAGTATTTAGGTGATGGGTGCACTGAAAACCCAGACTTCTACAGTACAAAATTCATCCACATAACCAAAAGCCACTTGCACACCTAAAGCTATTGAAATGTTGAAATTTTTAAAAATAATCACCCCCAATGTGCAAGAGTAGTGATGCTAGTAAGTGGGATATGCCAAAGAGAAGCCATAAAGTGTTCCCTTTAAGTGAAAAGGTGAATGTTTTTGACTTAGGAAAAAACATAGTGTATTTAGGGTTTATTCTAGGTTTCAGGCAACCATTGGGGGTCTTGAGATATATCCTCCATGGATAAGGGAGGACTATTCTATGCAGCATACATGAATAGAAGGAAATCACTGTGTAATGAAACTGGAAATAGACAGGAGCCAACTCCAACAAAATCATGAATAATTGACAAAGTCGGCATTGCTTATACTTGACTCAGTGATCTAATGGATATTGCAATCATTTGTATTATTTAATAAGTACTGTCTTAAAGAAGGGGAGAAAATATAGAAAGAGGGATGCATTCTGGCAGTCACACAGACCAACTATCGTGAGAACGGTTTCCCTTAAATTTGTGCAATGCGTAACTGCACAACCACTGATAGCAGGGGCATGTGTTGGCAAAACATTTCTTTTGTCTTTTTTTCTTTTTTCAAGACAGAGTCTCGCTCTGTTGCCCAGGCTGGAATGCAGTGGCACAATCTCAGCTCACTGCAACTTACGCCTCCCGGGTTCAAGCCATTCTCCTGCCTCAGCCTCCCTAGTAGCTGGGATTACAGGTGCACACCACCACTCCTGGCTATTTTTTTTTTTATTTTTAGTAGTGATGGGGTTTCACCATGTTGGCCAGGCTGGTCTCGAACCCCTGACCTGAAGTGATCCACCCATCTCAGCCTCCCAAAGTTCTGGGATTACAGGCATGAGCCACCACATCCGGCCAGCAAAACATTTCTTCATGTTTGCTTCCCTACATATTTGAGAGACATTCCCTAAGGAGAAATGTGAATCATGATAGAAACACAGTATCAAAATGCTGAAAATGGGGACTATATAACTTTACTGGTTTTACGGAATCAGGCCACCACAGTCAAACATTTTTTTCAGCAATTATCTCATATAGATATATCCAGCTTATCATGTATATATAATACTCCAGAGTTGTATATTAGAATACGGTAATAAAAATTTATTTGCATTGAGTAAAATTTCATGTCAAACACAAGTCATAACAAGAAGTCAACAAAATAATTCAGTATCTATAGGGAAACAGGTGGCAACAATAGAACTGCATGGAACCTGGTAGCCTGGTGCTGAGGATAAGCTGCAATCAATGGAGTAACTATAGACAAGTGAAGAGAGTTGTTCCTTGCAAGTGTACAGAAAAGTTTTCATCACATTTACCATTCTTGAAGCAATGGGTATTTTAAATGATTTTCTAGCTCCTATTATTTATTTGCCCCAGAATTCCTGTAATGTAAGTAAATATTAGTATCTCAGAAAAATGAACTCAGAAAGTTTCAATCAAGCAGAAAATCTAATGCTGAATAAGAACTCCAAATCTTCTGAGCATTTCAACACAGTGCCACTCTATTGTGACATGATGGTTGTTTGACAACTTGCACTTATATTTATTTTCAGAAGGGGGACAACTTGGATTTTTTTTTTTTCCTAAGAATACTTCCAGGTAAAGGGCCGGATGGGATTAAGATGAGGGAACAGAGCCAGAAACAGGAAATTAGGTGTCAGCGGAACAAAGGACAAGTAGAGAAAAGTTTAGGAAGTTACTCTGCTTCCACTGAGAATCTACACATTGGGGCTTTATCACAACTGAGTCTTTTGAGATTCATCTGTCACTAGACAGTACTAAGCACACTGTCTTTAAAGAAAATCTTTGTTCTAATTCCCTCCTGACAGGAAAAAGCTTCTGGGTTCACTCAACCCTATCTTTATCCTTTACAAAGGAAAACTATAGAGAGAAGGGTTTGACTCCCACGGGCTTCACCAACTCTTCTTATTTAACTAGCTCTGTCTAACCAGACAACTGCTTAAGACTCCCCCCATTCACTTGCTACAGCCCTCACACAACAAAAAAGCCTGCTTTAGATGCTTTTATTTTCTTTCCTTTGGGGTTCCTCAAAGTCTAGGTGTCCCAGAGAGGAATCCTTTGTAACTAGGTTGCCTAAGTGATTGATAAAGGGGCCAGCACATTCCAAAGATAGAGTGGCTATTACTTGCTTCCCTCAATCCCACAATAGTGGAGAATACCTGACCCAGATTCAAATAATCAGAAGAAGATAAGACTTTCAATCCAATATTAAGACAAAAAAAAAAGCAGTAATTCTCATATTAAGCATTATTGTTAAGGGCCTCTAACACACGTAATGTATGAAAGACTGCAAACAGGAGCTCTGTCTTCAAAGGAGGATTGCATCCACCTTACTTTAGAAAAAAATGACCATTTATTTAATTTTAAGAAGCTCTAGAAAAGTATATTTACTCTTACAACTAAAAAACCCCATCAACTTTTTACAGTACCCTAGAGTTGAGTCTTCTAATATTTATCTCCAATCTTGTGCTTATGCTCCAGATGATAATTCCACATACACTGTAAAACTGCAGAAATTTTCCTAAGGAATATTCCCAGGCTTGGAATTAAAATGATCACTTCTCATTCTAATGACCACACCCTTCTCATCTTACATGTATCAGACAGGATCCTTGGTCGCAGGCAGCAGAAAGTGATTCTGGCTAATTTAAATAGAAAAATATTTACTGGAAAGATAACGGGGCTCACAGAATCTACAGCCGGCTGGACAATCAGACTTAGGAAATAGATGGAAAGAATGAGAACTTGGTAGCAAAAGAAGCGAGAAAAACAACTGCTTTTTAGCAGAGATACCCTGCTGAGCTGTCACTTCTGCAGCCATGGAACACTGATGCTGCTTGATGCTGCACCCTCACTGGACACCTTGAGAGCTATAAACACATTTTAAATATCTCTCTCTTTCTCTTTGCATCACTGGCTCCAGATAAAAATTCCCAGGCTGAAACATCTAATTGACCAAACCTAGGTCATGTCCTAGTGTCCAGTCTGCTGCTGACTCCTCACACAAACCCTGTCCACAAGTTATTAAAGTTGGTGCAAAAATCATTATGGTTTTTGCCATTGAAAGGAGAGGCAAAAACCACAATGACTTTTGCACCCACCTAATACTACTGGAACATCCTCCCTTGAAAGATTTTCTTAATAAAAAGCTGAAACTCCAAAGGGGAAGAAAAAATCCTTTGTAAAAATATAGCTACGTAACATGAAGTAGTAACTCAAATATCAAAAGAGATGCAGATGGTATTAAAAACAGAAAAATGAAAGCTGGCCATTAGCATGCCTCTGTTCTGCCCTTGGCATTCATTTCAGCTGAAGTTTGCTCAGTTTGGTTGCCCCATGAATTCCTAGGGCACTTATCAGAACCAACAAAGAGGTTCTTCTCTCAAATGTGGTCATTATTTCTTGATTACAGAGAAAGTCGGGTGGCCTAGGAACAGGTGGCTTTCTTCAATCAGCTGAGTTCCTGAGAGATGAGAGGGGAGGCTGGGTTTGCGAGATCTGTGCTGGCTGGCAGTGGCTCAGTCATTCCAAGACTTCTTGTTCCTTTCTGGAAAGAAGGGAAAATTTCAGAAACTACAAAGCTTCTCTTAGCTTTGATTTGGCCCACAGATCACAACAGCTGTGAAAGTTGAATCTTGTAGCAGGGGTGGGGGGGTAGGGGGGTAGGGAGGTAGGAGGGTGGGAATAAATAAGGTCAAGACTGGTTATAATGTGGTTTTGCTAAAGTGTATTGTTTTCAGGAGAGGGAAAAGGGAAAAACCACTACGTATGAATATGAAGAGAGTGAAAAAAAAAATGTTAGTTGTATTTCAAGTTAAAGCAATTGGGGCCCACAGTCCCAATTACATATATGCTTCTAGGGGCAGAATGAATAATAGCTACTTGTCTTCGAGATGCTCTAGAATACATTTTAGCTTATAGCTCCAAAAACACTCACTGCTTTTAGTTTTCTTTTTATCTCATGGGCCTGACTAGTAGGAGGAGGGGGCTAAATGTTATACAGGTTAGTGAAACCAACTTATTATTTTTTAAAGTGACAGATTTTCATTATATGCTACTGATTCTGAAGCAAAATAAAGAATTTTCCTCCCTGAATTCAACTTATTTCCTTTTATTTATTCCCTGTTGCAAAGAGATTTTCTCCCCAATTAATGCAAATATGTCTCTCTCTTCTCTAGAAATTTAAATCGGATTTTTTTTTCAAAATAAATGGACTAGAAGAGAGGAGTTTTATTCCCAAATAGTTACCAGGTTTTTTTATGATTCTGTTATCAATTAGCTGGAAGTGTCCACATCACTTTTGATAATAGCAAAAGGAATGTCTACATAAATATTTAGGAGAGCGGTTCTCAGCCCTAGACGCATACGCAAATCACTGGATAGCTTAAAGTAAATGGGCGTCTGGGCCTTATTGCAGGCCTCCCAAATCAGAATCTCTAAACATAGAACCTTGGTATTGCTATTTTGTTTTTCAACTTTCAACTGAATTTCATAGGAAAGTCGGCTGCAAATTTCTTCTCACAGGGAGTTGCCACTTCTTCATGGTTGAGGATCAACACTTATACAAAAGGATTTCCATTAGGACCCAAAGAAAGAATTTAAACTAAACTTTTACTGACTCTCTCCTTTGGAGGAATGGACTCCACCAACATAGTGTGTAAGCGCCCGTGGAATATAACAGCAGCAATAACAATAAAAATCACTTTACCAAGCTCCACATCTCTAGCTCTCTTTCTCCCTAATTAGTCTTTTTGACCCACAAATGGCCCCTTAAACTTGTAACTTCAGTGTCTTAGACTCTCAGAGATCCTGGCTCTCACTGCATTGCTTGCTATAAATTATATTATCCATCAGAGAATACAGGAATCCCAAGGCATATGCCCTTGCCAATTTCTGGAAACATTTTCAAAGTACAGTACTTTTGAGATTCTAAGGGTAAGTTCCCCACTGGTATTCACTTGATGGGCAGAGAAAACTCAGTTAAAAGGAGAACAGAGCAGGTTGACACTGAGCCCAGCTGGGGCCCAACTCCAACAGCAGAGAGCAATGACTCTCCAATCTGACAGTCTGATTCAGTACATCTGAGGTGAAACCTACAGGTCGGCCTTTTTTTAATAGGAACCTCAGAATATTCGGCAACAGATGGCCTGCAGACCACCCAGAGAAACATGGTCATAGACTGTTATAGGAAAACCTTTCAGAAAACCCAGGAATGTTTAGGAGGAGAAAGCTAAACTGTGTTCAAATATTTAAAGGGCTTTCCTGTTTGGGGGAAAAGAAGTAAATAGATTTTTCAAAAACCCTCTTCTTTAAGACCCAAAGAGGAAGAAAAATGGAAACTGGGTTAAAATTGCAGAAAAAAATAGAATTGGCTTCAAATTTAGGGGAGAATTTTCTAGCAGTCAGACTGGACAGCATTATAAAGCAGTGGTTCTAAATTCATCCTAGAATGATTGCCACTTAGCATAGATAAGATCAAGGGGACTCAAGCATGTGGTGAATAGATGGTTCAATTTGTTATGTTCCTGGACACACAGAATCTGAACGCAGATTCATTCAGAATAATGAACCCTACCACAGGTCTAAATCTTTGTCTCTACAGCAGGATGAAAAACATACAACTGAACATTTATGCATTATATTTGACTAACTCAATTTCCTAAACCTCCCCATTAAACCTTTAATGCCTTATATTTACTAATTCTGAAGCTAGCTTTTGGATTAAGAAGCTTTAACCTAAACAGTTAAAAACACTGCAAAAACAAAATGTTGATTAACAACTCACAGATTTATACTCTAGCGTCTAAGCCAGTCAAATATATGGATGGGTAGATAGATTAGATAGATAGGTAGATAATACATATATGAGAAATTAGAGAGTGAGAGAAATGGAAAGATACAGGTAAATATAAATGCAGATATAGATACGAGAGAGAGAAAGATTTATTTCTGGCTAAGATGGATGAAGGACACTCCACTCCAACCAACTCTTTCACTGAATGTAGCTATAAAACAATGTACCTAGAAAGAATGTGGATGAAGCAGATGACTCTGAAAAGAAAATAGGGGCAGGTGAAAGATTTATACGATCTGAAGAGAAACTGCTAAAGAAAATGCGATACATATACACCTTGGAATATTATGCAGCCATAACAAAGAATTAGCTCATGTCCTTTGCAGGGACATGGATGGAGCTGGAGGTCATTATCCTTAGCAAACTAATGCAGGAGGAGAAAACCAAATACTGTATGTTCTTACTTATAAGTGGGAGCTAAATGATGAGAACAAACGGACAGTTAAAGGGGAACAACACACACTGGGACATATCAGAGGGTGGAGGATGGGAGGAGGGAGAGGATCAGGAAAAAAAAGTAGGTTTAATACCTGGGTGATAAAATAATCTGTACAAAAAAACCCCACCACACAAGTTTACCTACATAACAAACCTGAACTTGTACACCTGAACTTAAAAGTTAAAAAAAAAAAAAAAGAAAAGAATAAAGAAAATAGGGGCAGGTGGATTGAATCAGAAGTCCGGAAGTCAAGAACCATCAAAACTACAGTGAATTCACCAAATTTTTTCCTCTCTGGAATTCCATTGCCTGAACTCAAGATAGCCTGAGGACCAGAAGGAATCACTGGCACAGACAGAAATTCAGGAAAATCACTCTGGTTCCCGCTCAAGGAAAGCTAAAAGGACCTCCTAATGCTCAGAGAAAGTGTGGAAGTCCATGTTTGTTTTTTGCTTTGTTTTGTTTTCTTTGCTCTGTTTTCTGGTGCCTCAGACATCACATAATCTTAGAGCAATGGTGTTATTTCCCCTACCCAGCTCCCACTGCCCACACTTGTTTCTGACGTGGCTACAATCAAGTACAGTGTGAAGCAGAGTGGAAACAGGATGCTTTAGATTTCTGGCCAGATGACTAAAAAAAGGACCCTCAAGAAACCAGAAAGTCCCAAGATTTCAAAGAGGTAAGAGCTTGAGAAAACAACTCCTTTTAGTTGCACATGAACTCCTAACTACTAACCCTGAGCTGTGTGTGCACGGATGTAAACCTGAATAGAATGCATAGACTTTGAGAACTGAACTAGGGGATAGACCACTGCTCAAGTCCTAGACTGGCTGCATGCAGGACTTGGAGGACAGATTGGAATCACACTGCAAAGACTTTGAAAGCCAAATTGACCAAAGAAGCCTGGCCAGAACTTGTGACCTGACCCAATTAGGTTGCTTGCTATTAAAGAAAAAATATCCACATTCTTTGTAGAATTTCAACAAAATCCAGAGACTCCATCCTGGCCAACATGGTGAAACCCCGTCTCTACTAAACATATAAAAATTAGCTGGGTGTGGTGGTGCACACCTGTAGTCCCAGCTACTTGGGAGGCTGAGGCAGGAGAATTGCTTGAACCTGGGAGGTGGAGGTTGCAGTGAGCCAAGATCGCACCATCGCACTCCAGCCTGGGCTACAAAGCAAGACTTCGTCTAAAAACAAACAAACAAACAAACAAAAAACCCAGAGACTCAAAATACCCACCACATAATTTGAAGTTAGTTAGCATATATAGAAACCCGAAAAATATCAACTTGCTTAGGAAAAGACAATCAACAGTGGTCACCACTGAGATGGCACAGATGTTGGAATTATCTCATAGAAACTTGAAAGCAGTTTTAAGACTTCTCCAATAACAAAGGATAACAGAAACATCCTTCCAACAAATGAAAACATAGAAAAATCTCAGCAAACAGAAGACAAAGAAGATACAAATGGAAATTTTAGAATTGAAAACTACACTATGAGAAATAAAAATCTCATAGGGTGGTATTAATAACAGAGTGGAGATGGCAGAGGAAAGAGTCAGTAAACTTGACAATTGATAAGTAGATACCATTCAACCTGTACAACCGAGAAAAACCACATAAAGAAAACAACTAATGAACATCACAAACTTGTAGAGCAATCCCAAAAGGTCTAACAGTTATATCATTAGAATGTCAGAGTGGGCAGGGAAAAAAAGAGTGAGGCTGAAAAAATATTTGAAAGAATCATGGCTGAAAATACCCTAAATTTGGTGAAGAGTGTCTACAGAAGATTCTGCCTCCAACCTGGGCCAAGCAACAGGAGGGGGAGAGAGAGAAAACAAGTGATGGGAATTAGCCCCACCTTCTTGAAATTGCAGCTGTTGGGAAGGCGCAGAAAGGCTCTCCTTGCTTGGAGTCAGTCTGTCTCTTCTGGATTTCCATACTGTAACTGCCAGGGCTGCCATGGGATAGCCTAGGGTGGGATATCCAATCTTTTGGCTTCCCTGGGCCACATTAAAAGAAGAAGAAATATCCTGGGCCACACGTAAAATACGCTAACACTAATGATAGCCTATGAGCTGGGCGAAAAAAAAAGGAAAGCCAAAAAAAAAATCCCATAATGTTTTAAGAAAGTTTACAAATTTGTGTTGGGCCACATTCAAAGCCATCCTGGGCCGTCTGCAGTCCATAGGCAGCGGGTTGGACAAGGTTGGCCTAGGGCCTGGCACAGGAAAGGAGGGTGGGGGCTGGACATCTCTCTCAGGGGTGATAGGTTCCCCTTTTTTGGCTCCTGCTGGAATTTTCTGTATCTATAGGAGTGCTCACTTCCAAGTTTCTGGCTGTGTTAAATCCAAGACAAAGGATGTCAGAGGGGAAAAAACTTCTGGTTTGGGTTTGGTGAGTTTGGAATTCTGAACTTCTCCAATCCTCTTGCTGGTATTTACAGAGCCCACAAATAGCTGCTCTATGCATTCTCCCTAGGCTTTGTAGTTAGTTTCAACAGGAGAGAGGAGGAATGCTTACTCCATGTTACCCAGAACCAACCAAGGTTAAGAAAAAATTTTGGAATAATTACTAAATATTACAGAATGTTACTTGTCTAATCTCTGAATACTATTGTCACAGACGAATGCTAAATAAGTTACATTTGGTTTTCTGTTTATAGGTTATACAAAGGAATCTTATTTCTTTAGTTATATTCCTAGTCACTGTTTCCCATAACACTGCCTGTGTGTAGAAGAACTAGAAGGATATTTTGTGCCCAAAAGAATCATCATTTAGAAAGTTAAAGCATTTTTCTCTAAACATATAAACTTTCCAAATTTCATCATGATTTTGGGCTATCAATGCCACTGGTTACCAACAAATAATTAAAAGTTGGCTGTATGTTGGGAAAACATATACAGTCTTACTTAACATGTTATTTTATGTTTTCTTTATTATATTCATTCTGCAAATATTGAGTGTTTATTTGCCAAGTTCTAGCCTTGACAGTCTGGTAGTGAATACATTGGGTAAAGTCCTGTGTTCATCCTATTAAGACATTTGAATAAAAGATTCTAGGCATTCTGATAAGCACAACTATTCTATATTATTGCTTTTAATATGGAAATGTTTTTCCTTAAATATTCTCTAAGTTGACTTTGTCTCCAGTGATCTTTACAAAAGGATGGGAACCTAGACAAATATATACTTCACATGGGGAAGTTTGAGCCATTGCAAACTTCATTTCCAACTAAGTGACATTAAACATACCAACGTGGTTTAGGTATGAATATCCCTGCTCATTGAGCATAACACTCACTGTAAAATTCTCGCTTAGAAATATTTTGCAAATTTCCTAAATTTGGGACATGCCAGCTTTACAAAAGGAATAAAAGCCACATGTTGAATGTGCTCTCATAGCCAACATTAGTAATTATTATACGTTTTATTTTCTTAAAGCAACTTTTTAATTTTAAGAGATTAAATGGCTTGATTAAAAATTAAATGGCTTGATTCGTTTATTGGATGTCACAACATCTTATGGCTGAAAAAGCTAAATTGTTAAAGAAAAATTAGTTTTGTTTATCCATTTATATATCATTTGGGTCCAGTAGCAAGAGAAGGGCACTTGATACATATTAATTGGTTCAAAAACTTGGGCAATTTTGTTGTAATTTTGTACTTTAGTTTGTGATAGAGGTCATCATATTTATAAGTTAGACATTAGGCTTCTTTTCATTATTCCATTTTTTCTTTCTCTTTGATCCTTCATTCCCACCCTCCATTCTTTCCCTCCATCATATACCTTTTCTAATCTTCTACTTTAGCACCTCTTTCCAATAATCAACTTCTCAAAACGTTCTCACCTGGTACTGAAAATGTGAACATGTCATCACTTCTCAAATACATCCAGGTGCAGTTTACAGAAAATTTTAACAGAGACTAAGGTAATTCTACCATTACTCACATGTGGGGTGTGCATATATACATCTATATGGCCCAATAATGTGAATAACCTTCATTTGGTAGAAACACATTCAACTAATTAAAGCTGGTGGAAACTATAATAATTTCCCTAAGTTCCATAAATCATATACCCTCCGAGTTTGTTTTCAGGCATTTTTCTCTAACATTGGTTAAATAGCTATCATTTTGAACATTTGCATTCCTCCCAATCTCCAAGGGAGGATAGTACTATTGTAATTATACTACATTCTTCTGAGATTCCATAACGAGCTATTATTTTGCTAATGGAATATTCAAGTAGTCTGTAGTAATTTATCAAATAGTCCCAAGTCCCATTTTCTCAGTGTGAGTCTTTTTGTTCACAGGTAAATTGATGTGTGGGGGGTTATCAAGTCTTTTTTGTAATTCAAATTATCCATTCCACCTCCCTTCACGCACAGGAAAATGCTATCTTAGAACTGAGTTTTTAGAAATGTTTAGAATTAAAATTGTACAGACACTGTGCAAGTAGTAATTTCTGCATTTCAAATTTATTTTATGATGTTTTTGCATTTTGATGCCTAATTTTGAAAATGCTCCTAAATTGAAGGTGGGGGGAGGCAAAGATGTAATTCAATTTCTTTCACACCATAGTCAATTCTTTTGTCAGCTCAAACTACTAGCAGGAGAGCACTATACTAAATTAGAGATTCAGGAACAGGAAATTATCTCAAGCTCTCCTATCTTCCTTCACTTTAAAAAAATCAGAATTTAAAGCTGGTATAGTTCTTATTGACCACTTTTTGGAACAGAATCCTTTTAAAGTTATAACGGGGTGTACATATACCAGTGAGTATATTAGAGCCCTTGAGCAGAAAACTATGCAAATTGACTCAGGTTGGGAGAAGGGCTTCTGAACTACACAAAGAAAACGAAACAAAAGCAAAGTATTTTTTTTTTTTTTTTGAGATGGAGTTTCATTCCGTCACCCAGGCTGTAGTGCAGTGGTACGATCCCGGCTCACTGCAATCTCTGCCTCCTGGGTTCAACCAGTTCTCATGCCTCAGCCTCCCAAGTAGCTGGGATTACAGGCGCCTGCAACCATGCCCGGCTAACTTTTGTACTTTTAGTAGAGATGGGGTTTCACCATGTTGGTCAGGCTGGTCTGGAACTCCTGACCTCAAGTGATCCACCCACCTTGGCCTCCCAAAGTGCTGGGATTACAGGCATGAGCCACCGCGCCTGGCCTACCTGTAAAGTTAACAGAGGACAGACTGGAGAGTTCTAGTCCCTGGTAGAACTGTGAACTGGCTTGTGCTAGACTCGACTTCCTCATCTTAACCTTAAAGTTTAGTTTATAATATTGTCATTACTGGAAAACATCTCTGAGAAACTAACCAAAGCAACGAACAGAAGACCTTGAGAAGATTGAAAATTGTAATTGCTGGGTGTGGAAAGGATAGGAATTTGCATTTTCCTATGGAAGTGCTTCACAGATGGCCTTGACAAGATAAAGCAGAGAAGAGCCTTTCAATTTTGCACTCGCATTTCCCCTACATTGTCTTAGGAAAATTATCTCCTTCCCTACCCAAAAATCTGCTACAGCAGCTTAGATCACTTGTGTGGTGTCTCTGAAGTAATATTTGGGTAGCAGGAAGGCCCTTTTTGGGTGACAAATCTTTAAAAATAAGAGAAGACTGACCAGCTGCCCTTGGGCATTGACCCTTCCTCTTCCTTTCCCTCCAAATACCCATTCACTGATAAATAATAATCTAAGGAAACTGCCCTCCCCCACCACCACCCCCATTGCTGTATTACCATTAAAGATGAGACATGAATTACTGACCAGATGAAACTCTTGGAGGACTGACTGTTACAGCCTGGAATCCACAGAGGTTCTGCAGTGCCTGGGACTCTCTGACTTTCTGCCTAGGGGCTTATCCTTGTCTCTATTTTTAACCTCACCAAAATTCATATAAATTGCAGCCTGGCTTTTGGCCCTTACCCAAAACACATTTTCAGAAATGCAGACATCTTTTCTATTCAGAGATCCTGCTGAAACAGAGTAGCTGATATGCCAGGGGAGAACTCACTCACCAAAATAACTAGATGCAAAGGGCTATAATTACCAAAAGAAAATGCACCAACTGGACAACACACACTATCTTAAGTATAAATACTAGAACTGACAGATTAAGAATTATAAATAGAATAATAAATATAGTTATGAAGATATTAGAAAGTTTAACCATATGAAAGTAAAACAATGAATTATAAAGTTCCACATGGGAATATTATACATAAAAATGTATGTATATTTCTCATAATTAAAGAAGGATTAAAGATCTTGGATTTAGAAAGATCATCGAATGTCAAATAGTATTGATAATAAAAAACTCACACTTAGACTATAATTAAACTTAAAATTATCAAAGACAGAAAAATTTGAATACTGCTAAATAGAAAGCAAAGAAAGGAACAAATACCCCAGTTGAATATGATTTTAGAAGAAATCAATTTAGAAAAGAACAATGCCAGGAAATGATGGAAGAGGTATGATAAGTGAAATGATCAAATATGTAGCAACATATTTGATCATAATTTGGCAAAGACTGAGAATGAGGTGGGTGGAGGGAAAGAGAAGGAAAGGGGAAAAAAATTAGACCAAATGGAGAAGTATATTTACAATAGCCAGAACTAAAATTCAACATGATTCAATTTGATAAGGTAGGGAACATGAGGAATGAGAGTGAATTAAGTTATTTGTCTCATCAAGAAAAATGTCCTCTTGGGAAAATTATATTACTTATGTTGTTAGCAGAAATATATATAAAATTCTTAAATGCATACACATATGTGTGTGTGTGTATGTTTATATATATAAGTTTAAGAATTGATTACTAGAAAATAATCATGATTATGGGTCTTTGGAGAAAGACACCTGCCATAATGAGAAAAAAATGCCATCAGTAAATTTTCAGCAGCAGAACAAATCACTCACTCTTAAATAGAAAGCACAGGTGGAGAAAAAGGAAAAACAAAATGTGAAGTTTACGTGAAAAATACTTTCCAGTATCACCGTTGTTAACTATAAAAGTTGATTAAACATATGAGTTAAACGGTGGAGACTCTAATGCTGCATTTTTTTTAATTCAACAGTAAGTTGTCTAAAATAAACGTAAGATGTATCAGGCAAATATAAAGCAAAAGAGAAGTGACATAGTAATCTTATTATATGAAAAATATAATTTAATGCCAGGAAGAATCTTATCTGCTGGTAAAAGAAACATTAGGACAAGAAGGTATATTTATCATAATTCACGTCTCACATAGATATTGTCTATGGCTGCTTTCTATGCCACTACACTGGCAGAGCTGAGTACTTACTAAAGTAGTTACTATCTTGCATTTTACAGAAAAAGTTTAGCAACTCCTAATATATACAACTGAGTCTTAGGAGGAAAGAAAGAGGAAATGAAATGAGCAAAACTAATATTTGAAGAGAGCCAGAATAACACAAATGATAACAGGCAGGGATATTAAAACAGCTGGGTTGGTGCAAAAGTAATTGCAGTTTTTTTGCCATTGAAAGTAATGGCAGCCAGGCAGGGTGGCTCATGCTTGTAATCCCAGCATTTTGGGAGGCCGGGGCAGGCAGATCACAAGGTCAGGAGTTCGAGACCAGCCTGGCCAACACAGTGAAACTCTGTCTCTACTAAAAATACAAAAATTAGCTGGGTGTAGTGGCAGGCGCCTGTAATCCCAGCTACTCGGGAGGCTGAGAGGAGAATTCCTTGAACCCAGGAGGCGGAGGTTGTAGTGAGCCGAGATCGCGCCATTGCACTCCAGCCTGGGTGACAGAGCTAGACTCCATCTCAAAAAAAAAAGAAAGTAATGCCAAAAACCATAATTACTTTTGCACCAACCTTAATATCCTATCTGTATTCTATATATTCAAATATCCAGAGGAAAACTAAAACTTGTTAAGTAGAAACACAAGATATAAAAAGACCTACATTGCACTTGTACCAATAAAACCTATAATATCTGAGATTAAAAAATTCACTGATTGAGATTCATGGCTGATTAAACATTGAGGAAAAAGACATATCAATAGAAACCATCTGAAATGAAAAAAAAGATAAAGCCTTTTAAAAATTGAACAGAGCATCAGTGAGTTCTGGAACAAGTATATATATATATATATATATTATATATATATAAAATATATATATAATATATATAAAAAATATATATAAAATATATATATATTATATATAATATATATATAATATATATAATATATATCATATATATAATATGTATGAAATATATATAATATATATCATATATATTATATATATGAAATATATATAATATATATCATATATATAATATATATGAAATATATATAATATATATCATATATATTATATATATGAAATATATATAATACATATCATATATATAATATATATGAAATATATATAATATATATCATATATAAAATATATATATGAAATATATATAATATATATCATATATAAAATATATATATGAAATATATATAATATATATCATATATAAAATATATATATGATATATATTATATATATTATATAAAATATATATATGAAATATATATAAAATATATGTAAAATATATATATTATATATAATATATATATTATATATATATTATATATAATGTATATATAAAATATATATTATATATATATTATATATAATGTATATATAAAATATATATATAAAATATATATAAAATATATAATATATATATAATATATATATATAAAGTTCTATATATATTTATATGATTGGAGTTCCTGAAACACAAGAAATCAGGGTATACACAGAATATTTGAAGAAATAATGGGCACAGTTTTTTCAAATGTGCTGAAAACCACAGATCTCCTGATTCAAGAAACTCAACAAATCTCAAGAGCAAGTGCCAGGAAAAAGCAAACACCGAAATTTTAGCAAGTCACATCTCATTCAAATTACTTAAAGTCGATGATAAAGAAAAAAAAAATTATAACATCAGCTGGGGGCAGTTGGCAGGGGTGCGGAGATGTACATACATATTTTTAAAAAGTTAAGTATCTCAGCAGAATTCTCATTGGAAATAATGCAAACTACACTAAAAAAAAAACCAAGTAATGAGCTAAAATTATTTACCTACTGAAAATATCTCTAGAAAACAAGGATTAAATGAAGGATTTTCAAACATAAATATATGAAAGCAATGAAGAACTTTAGGAATGATAACTATGTAGCACATACAAAGCTTTCTTTAAAAATTATTTAAATCTTCTTCAAAGATTATCTACTCAAAAAAAAATCAGTAACAATGTATACTATGAGTTATAACAGATATCAAAGCAAAATATATGATTACATTGCATAAAGGCTGGGAAGGAAGAAATGGAAATATAATTTTTAAGTTTCTTATAGTACACATTAATTTATATAATATCACTTGAAGATAGCCTGTGATAAGTTAAAGATGTGTACTTTAAACACTAAAATAGACACTAAAATAACACAATGATCAGTTATTACTAATTGTCCAACAAAAGAAATAGTATGGAATCATAAACAAATAATCCAAAAGAAGGCAGAAAAGATAAAAAAGGAACAAAAAAGAGATTAATGAAAAATAAATGGCACAATAATAGATTTATACCAACCATGTCAATAATCACACCAAATATAAATGGACTAATTCCCAGTTAAAAGGCAAAGAGCGTATGATTATGTTTTTTTTAAAGCAAGATATGCTCCCTAGAAGAAACCCATTATATAAATATAGAGAAATAGACAAGTTAGAAGTAAAAGGATGGGAAAGGATGTGCCATGCTAACATTAATCTAAGGGTGGCTCTATTAATATCACATAAATATTTGGTAAATAAATGTTTAGGGTCATTATGTCTTTTTGATGAATTGATCCTTTATCATTTTAAGATGACTTTTTATTCCTGGACTTTGTGTACTATTTTTCTACTTTGTGCAATGTTATTGAACTTTGTGTAACATCAATGCATAATACATACACTAGAATTATTCTTTACAAAGAGAAGAGATGGAGGAGGCTGTAAAAATCGAATGAAATAAATTTTAAAATTCAAAATTATTATGAAACTAAGCAATGTAAACAAAAAATTGCAGGCATTACAATGTTTATATAATTTGTAATATTTCACTATGACAAATGAGAGACATAAAAATTATGACCTTTGCTGACATGTTCAACTTCCAGTGCAAATAATTCCTAGTTGTAGAATAATTTTAAAAAATCAATTTAATATAGGTTGTATTGGAAACAATTTGATTGTGGCATAATTATTTATTAAGGGATAGTAATGCATTAATTTCAGATCTATTAAATTGGGGGATTTATATCTCTAATGCTATGCCTCTGTAATGCTGTGCCTCTGTACACAAGGAGAGCAATAAGCCACAGAATAATGACATTATGCATATTATAAAGTTGGGGATCAGCAAATTTTCTATATAAAGGGCCGGAAAGTAAATATTTTCAGTACCATGAGCCATATGCTCTCTGTTACAAATACTCAACTCTACCATAGACAATACATCAATAAATGATGTATTGTCCAATAAAACTTTATTTACAAAACAGGAAATGGGCAGTATTTGGCTCACAACTATAGTTTTCAGACTTTTCTTAAGGAGCATTAACTTTACTCCTAGATTAGGCAGAGGAAACAACTGCCACTATATCATTTCTGCTTTTCTAATATAACTTCATCTCAAATTTTACTTTTAAAATGTTTTTGGACTTTTGATATGTATCCTTCATATGTAATTTGATATTATTGATCTATTTGAGACTGCATTTTAGCATTGCTTATGTTTTCTGGTTTTCCATTTTTTATGTCTTTTGCTTTATTACTGTCTTTCCCATTAAGGATAATGTCTCCTTTTACGAGAAATTTGGAAGTTGAATTGGATATTACACATTCTGAGCTAATTTGACTATTGGTCAATTTTAAAATAAAAATGCTTTAAGTTTCTCCAATTTAAAACGTTATATAAATTGATTTTCCATATAAATTCATATTCATTTGTTTTCCTTAATGTATACATGTTTAACATATATAATTTACAAGAATTATTTTGACTTCCTTCTATATTTTATAATTTTTATCATTATTAACCATGTTTTTCACCAGCAACTTTATCTTACTGCTTCTTCATTTTGAATTGTTTATTGTTTCATTGATTTGTCAGCTATAATATACATTTGTGGTTTTTATTTTTAATGAAGGATGGATATATAAAATGTATACTCAGTTTAAATATATGGAAACATATTTTTCTTTTACACATGAACAAAAACTTGAGTAGAAATGGAGCTCTTTTATTTAGGTTACAGCCTTGTTCTTTATAAACTATTGACAAAGTATTGCTTACAGACCATATTGTGTGTTGATCTGTTTTGCTTGGCCTGCAGAGCACTAACTGAAAATGTGAATTGGTTGATGACTTTAAACAAATCTGAAGATTTCACATAAAAATCCCTACTTGTAGGCTTTGCTCACCAGGTAGAGCAGTTGGCAACACTGGAGCATTCTCACATAGCAATTCAGAATTAGAATTGAGTCGCAACTTCTGCCCTTAAGCTGGACGTGCAGTCTCCAATTTGCCATAGTACTTACTTGCCCTACTTCATTATTTTGTATTACCTATCTGACTTGGGATGGCAATTGAGATTGTGGGGCCTGATGTTGTTCAATAGGGTTATAGAATTTTGTAAATTAAAAAAAAAATGTGGAACAATTCTGGCTTTTGTTGTTTGGTTTGGTGTTGTGACTTTTAAAAATTATTGTTAATGCTTTGCTTAGATGGAATTAAAGAACTTTCTTTAAAAGTTGAAACTAAAAATACATGAAAAAGTAAACAAAATTTTACAAACCTGTGTCTAACTGTTTTTCTCCATTTATTTGACAGGTTTTTCTTTTCATTTATTTAAAACCAAAGTATTTCGTATAGAAACTTTGGCTTCTATTATAACTTGTTTATGATTTTAAATTCCTTATTAAGCCACCAGTTAAGATATGTTGAAGATTTTTCTCTGCCCTCCATATCTATTATCTTTTCTCAAATTGTTTTCATTTTCTTATTTATTTCTTCTATGTTCTATGAGAATCACTCAAGTTTTTATTCATTATTAATAGCTCATTCTTTGTAATGTTGATATAGCTCTTTATTATTTATAATATTGATTTTAATTATGTGATTACATTTTGGGTTTTGAATAACTTAACAATAATTAATATTTATTGAGTACTTAACTATATGTCAAACGCCATTCAATCACTTTGAATGCATTATCTCAATGAATGTTTACCAGAAATCCTATGAAGAATGTGCTATTATTGTGCCTTCTAAAGTGAAGATAATAAGGCTTTCACAGATTAAGGAACTTTTCCAAAATAAAAGAGTTGGAAAATAGTGGAACTATAGTATGTAATAAGACATTTTTTAATCCAAATCCTATGCTCTTATCCACTAAGCTACATAGAGACCTTTCTTTTTCTCTGACATAGTTAGCTTGCTTCTCATTCAAGTTATTTTTGTTGTCTATATTAGTTATTATCTTTCTTTCTAAAAATTTTTAATTATAAAATTTATATAATATGAAATTTACCATCTTAACTATTTTAAGTGACAGTTCAGTAGTGTTAAATACAAATTGCTGTGTAACCAATCCCCAAAACTCTTTTCATTTTGCAAACTTGAAACTCTGTACTCATTAAACAATTCTCTCCTCCTTCCTTTTCTCAGCCTCTAGAAACCATCATGCTACTTTCTGTCCTTCCAATTCAAATGTCAGTCTGTAATTTTAACAAATTTACCATTATTGGCTTATTGTGTAGAAGCCTTGTTTCCTTACATTTTTTACAGCAAAAAACAAATACAATAAATACAATAATTTATCAGCTTTTAAAATTATAAATGATTTCAAAAAATATCCTTCTGCTCCTTCTCTAGTGCTAGTGTCTGTGTTTTGTGTTATACAATCACTTCATACAGTACTTACTTGTTTTGAAAAGAGATTGCCTCATCCTTGAAACAAATGGATTATTCTGTTTTAGTATTATTCAGTTTTATCTGAATCTAATTAGAATCATCCTTTCAAATCTTAAGATATAGGAGGTATCACTGTTCACACCGGTCAACTTTCTGGTACCGTGTTGTCTTTAATTTAGTATCTGTTGGTCTGAGAAACAATCTCATGGTGTTATGACTAGATTACCTTGTCTAGACATAAGGGAAGAATCTTATTCTGTCTAGTCTGAAGTTCTCTGTATTTCTTGCATTGCAGAAAAATCCCAAATAGTGAAGAAAATCTAAAATATTACTCACATCCATTTTGACCTCATTAGCATTTCATTACTGAGGAATATTGGGGTGGAGAGATGCATTAGAGATTGAAGCAGGGCCAAGGGGTGAAACAGTGTATTTGGATTAAATAGAGGTGGGCTTTTACAAAGCAGAAAGGTGGGTTTGTGCCTCCATGAGTATGCGTAGATGGAAATCCCCTACCTCATTAACCCATGTGCCTTTCTCACTCTGCCTCCAGGCTAAGTTTTCCTTAGTTGACTCTCCAACTTTTTCCTGACACATTTTTGACCCACATTTCTAGTTTCCACTGTTGAAACTGTATCTCTTTCCCTATTTTCATGAGCATTATAATGGAAAAATTGCAGAGGCTGAGTCAGACACTGCTGATCACCAACAATGTAGCCAGAATATCCTCTTTCATATTTAAAGAAGACGAAGCTGGTAATGCTTTCCCCCTCAACACCACATGCTCCATTCTGACCTAAAATCCAGTATAGGCTACCAGTCTTTTTAAAACTGCACACATAGACAAAGTATCTTTTGCCGATAACTGCAGATGGTCTTTGGAGACCCAATTCCTCTTTCCTACTACCATTGTCTTTACCGTTGTCTTTTCTTAGAAGTATCTTGGCAGGAGAAAATATACATAAATTGTGCAAATTGCCAACATTATATTGAGATGCTATTTGCAAGGATTTCTTTCTCAAATATATTCATTTTTTAACATCTTCAAATCAAGTTTAATTCTGATATGGTAAGTTTAAATTATGGAAGTATTTTTTATGGTCAGGGTTGAATGACTTTCAGCTTTTCAAATTCTATTTCATGTCCATAATACATGTTAGTTTAATGAATGGCCTTTGTGGAAGTGACAATAGCTAAATTATAAAATCTGTCAAAAATCCATTTTACTATGGTCTAGTTCTTTATTATTTGGTACAGGAAGGAAAGAACAAGTAGAAATAGAAAAGCATATAGTGTGAAATTCAGGCAAAAAATCATGGGCTAAAGCTTGAAATTAAAATCTCAACTACAGCTTAGCTGAAGAAAACAAAAACAATCTGCATCTAGAATGGGAGTGTGGGGTGTGTGTGTGTGTGTGTGTGTGTGTGTGTGTTCACTATGGCACATGGACATTCTATGAATTAGCTCATTGGCTATGACTGCTGTGTTTCTTATGGAAAGAATGGATGACTTGTTAGCATGATCTCATCCATCCTCCGGGAGCTGGAGGTTGTTTATGTGTAGAGGGAATTAACAATAATAATTCTGAAGAGAGGAAGTGTTTTGGAATGTCTAGAGTCAGCTGCCTAGATTCTATTTCTGGACCCATCAGTTTTTTGTTAGGAGGCTTTAGACAGGTCATATTTCCTTAGGACCGTTGTTTCAGTATCTGTTTGATTGGCATACGAATAGCTTCCATTTTATTACTTCATGGATATTTTGTGAGTTTTAATAACTTTAGGTAACACAACCTGCAAAATGGCTCTGAAATCTTTGGAGAACCTCCAGAACAAAGGAGGAAGTGTTACTTCTCTGGAGAAAATGTAATATCTTTTCATAGCAAGTGTTGTATGGTCTTTTTTTTAATGAAAATTCTCAAGATTGCCAAGCATATTCTATAAACTTTCTCTTCAGAATTGCCACTTTGCAGCTTCTCACCAGGAGCTATATGAGTTTCACATTACCTCAGGATTAGATATGTTGTTTGACACATTTTCTTATTATTTTTCAAAAGGGAAAAATCACAGTAAATTTAGGAGTCACTAGGTGACAGAAATTTCAGGACTGTTTTTGGAGTAACAGTTGTTCTTCATATTAAACATGCATCTGTGAGGACAAGTCCATTCCTCCTGGAGGGATGCCCTGGGCAGGCAAGTGTGTAGAAGCAGGTCATAACATTGTTTATCTGATTGGGACCAGAGACAAAGCACATAGGTGTTTGAGACTCAGCTCTAGGGAAAATGACTAAACAAATGGGTTTGCAAGAATCTCGAGACCAAGTAGGAACATTCATCTCTGCCAATTAATAAGAAAAACTTAAATTTTCAGCACACTTTACAGTCTAAAACAGCACATTCATGTATGTAGTTTCACAAAAACTGTGCAGAGCAATGTATTGTTTCAACATGAGAAAACTGAAAATTGGAGTTATTAATACTAATTGATTTGTCCAAGGTTGCACAGCTAGAGAGTTAGTACTCTAAGCCTGGTATTTTGATTCTTCACCTGGTGATTTATGCTGTACTCTTGATTCTATACATAGGAGGGAAAGGGGAACTCTTACATTTCATCCTTCCTACCTGCCTTCCTGCAAACTTTTATTCTCTACTTACTGCCAGTTGAGAGTCACTGACATAGTCAGCCATCATTACTGTGGAATGGGTTTCCTTCAGATGTTTGAGGGCAGAAAATAACTTGGCGATCACAGAATATAGCTTTTTTTGCGGGTGTTTTTCTTTCCTTTTTATGTAAATGTTGACACTATATCATGAACATGAAATACGTTTCTTCATTTTCTCAAGCAATGACTCTATAGTATACTCAGAAACTTGTGACCTTGTTTATCCTTACTCAGAATAGAAGTTTGGCTGCTGTTTTATGCCCTGATAACAGCACTAGCCACCTCCACTCCCTCTATCTAAAACTAACATTTCCCAGGCCTAATTCCCTTCACTGCTAGTGCTCTAAGTTTTTTTTTACTAACGTACATTCTAACTGAAAACACATGACACTGGAGAGATTAAAACCCCTCCAATACATAACCGAAGAAACATTTCATAACTTGACTTTTCTCTGGACTATATTCCAATGAGATTTTCATGTGGTGCAGATGTTGAGCTTCACATTGGCATCTATGTTTTGGCATAAACTTGAAGAGAGAAATAAAACGAGCTTGTTTTCTTGTGAAAATCTCATATCAGCCCTCGGAGAAAGGAACAGGGAACTGTTTCAAGAAAGACATACCTTAATTTTGTTGCAAATCCTTTTCTGCCTTCCAGCCTTCAATATCAATATGTCACACTAAATTATTTCATTAAGTACTTCATCTCCTTTGTAACCTGCTTGTCTTTGAGGACAAACTTCAGAGCTGCCATGTACACATCTGCAATATTTCTACTCAAAGGACACATGCTGACTCTTAACTGGAAAGCGATGTGCATTCTTTTCTTCTTCCCTTCATAAATATATATTGCAATTGCCACTGTTATTTAAAAAATTATCCTTTGGTCCTTAGTGATCTACCATGCTCTACTCTCCCTTCATTCTTAAGCTGACCTTGCTCTCTCAAAAAGACAAGAAGACAACCTTAAGTGACAACGAGACAAATTTCATTTTGTTGGGAACTGCCTTTTCAATTATTTCTCTCTTCTCGATTTCTCCTTGCTGACCTGGTCCAAGCTGTTACTTTGACAGGGGTCCCTAACCTCCAAATTAAAATATGCAAATTGTTATGCTTCCTGCACTAGGGCCGGTATAGTCTATGCATTGTAATTGCAAAAGATTGTTCTGTTCCATTTTACACCAGAAGAATATAGTTACCTACGTCTGCCATTTCCTATTATGAGAAAAATAATACCTTGCAGACTGATACATTATAAGCAATACATTTATGCATTAGTATATTTCTACTTCGAAAACGAAAGATTATTATTTTTCATGACCCACATTCTGCCACAAGGAAAATATATCCAGGTATATCCAAATAGTCTCAAAGACTTGTGTATATATTTTACATGTTTCTATATTGGGACTTAGTCTAATTTAATTTGAAACATCACTGAATTTTTAAGTACTTAATTTTTATGTAACAGACTTGAAATATGGAACATTTACTAGTCAATGAATTTTTCTTCCTATCTCTCTTCTAGTACATTTTTGGAGATTGGATGCTTTCCCTAGTCACCTGATCAATCCGTACTGTTCCAGGCTGATAGGCAAGGCATTTTCAAGATCATCATACGTATTCTTTATCTCTGTGTACAAACAGAATATTTTCCCATTATTTTTAAAAGTTATCTTTCTCAACCCCATAAAAAAATTGACTTTATAAATATCCATTGTGTTGGGCCGGGCGCGGTGGCTCACGCTTGTAATCCCAACACTTTGGGAGGCTGAAGCGGGTGGATCACTTGAGGCCAGGAGTTCGTGACCAGCCTGGCCAACATGGAGAAACCCCATCTCTACTAAAATTACAAAAATTAGCCAGGTGCAGTGGCACACACCTGTAATCCCAGCTACTCGGGAGGCTGAGGTATGAGAATCACTTGAGCCCAGGAGGCAGAGGTTGCAGTGAGCCAAGATCGCACCACTGCACTCCAGCCTGGGTGACAGAGCGAGACTCTATCTCAAAAAAACAAAAACAAACAACAAAACAAACCATTGTGATGATAATCTAAATAAACGGAAATGTACAATATTTAGAAATTGCTTAAAGCTTATCTCTTTGTTGCTATCATACTTGCCATGGTTGTCAGAAATTCCGAGTGATCATGAATTGTCTCCTGAGCATCATCATTTCCTCCAGATTCTTTCAGAGGACCTGGGAAGAAAGCCCATTTGGCAATCACTGCATGGGAGTCACTTACCTACAGAAGAAATAGCAATAATAAATAAAACTACTCGAAAATCAAAAGGTTATTTGTTGCTTTGAGATATATTTGATATTTTCTAAATACTTTTTTGTGAAAATTTGATTGTGTTAGACTGATTTATGGTAAATATTTTATTCCTAAACTTTTATTGATTGAAGCAAAACATATGACGTAATGAGAAGAAAGCCACCTGGAATTCAAAATTGTATACAACGTAAATCACAGGTAAAGAGAAATGAAAGCTGAACTCAATGCTAAGCAACCGAACATCAAATTTTATGTCTATTGGTAATGAGCAGTGTGGACACCAGGTATGTAACCTATCTGGTCTTTATTTTCCATATAAATTAAATTCCATATTCCAAGTCAGTGAACTTTAGAGCTGAATCTGCTCATCTAGTTAACCCTCTCGGTTTAAGCAGGCTAAGAGAGGATACATTATTTGACATTATCCATCTATCAATCATCTACTAAGGCAGGCCTAGACTCTATGTCATTAATTCTTTCCTTTAATGGACACTATGCTAAGGACTGATAGGGTAGGAGAAATCATTTTGAGGCTACGTAAAGATGGTAGGGAGTGGATGTAGGTGAGAAAATTGATAGTTGACTGTTACTGCAGTCCAGGCCATCTGAGAGTGTGCAGAAGTCTCCTCAGTCTTCTCCCTGCTTCAGAGTGCTGTGGAGTTATGGTCTAGCTCCAGTGTGTATTCTCCTCTCTCGTTTGATTGGTCTTCCTTTCTTAGAGATTGTAACAAGTCATTCCTCAATTACCTTGTCAAGTGGTTGTCAGATTTTAACAAAAGGAAACAAAAGCAAAAGGGCCAGGTGTTTTTTATTTTGTCTCCCCAGCAATGTTCTTGAGACGTTTGGATTGGACATGATGTGGCAGACATCCCTGTGTTTCCGTCTTGTGTTGAGAGCATGTGGCCATTTGACCATAATACAGGAAGGCAACCAGAAAAGCACTTAGAAGAGGCACAGTCAACCCTCAGTATCCCTGGGGGATTAGTTCCAGGACTCCCCACAGATACTGAAATCTGTGGATGCTCAAGTCCCTTATAAAAAATGGCATAGTGGACGGGTGTGGTGGTTCATGCCTGTAGTCCCAGCACTTTCGGAGGCCAGGGTGGGCAGATCACCTGAGATCAGGAGTTCAGGACCAGCCTGGCCAACATGTTGAAACCCTGTCTCTACTAAAAATACAAAATTAGCCTGGTGTGGTGGCGGGCGCCTGTAATCCCAGCTACTCGGAAAGCTGAGGCAGGAGAATCACTTGAACCCGCGAGACAGAGGTTGCAGTGAGCCAAGATCATGCTGTTGCACTCCAGCCTGGGTGACAGAGTGAGACTCCATTTCAAAAAAAAAAGGCATAGTATTTGCATATAGCTACACACATTCTCCAATATACTTTAAATCACCTCTAGATTACTTATACTACCTAATACAAGGTAAATGCTATTTAAATAGTTGTTATACTGTATTGTTTTTTACATTTGTATTTTTTATTGTTGTATCGTTATTTTTATTGTTTTTTCCTAATATTTTCAATCTGTGGTTGGTTGGATCCATAGATGCAGAACCCATGGATATGGAGGGCTGCCTGTAGTCTGTGTATGTACGGGTGTGAACATGGATGTGTGCCAAAATCTAAAGTCAGCTTCTAGAGACTATGTTCTGAACAACATAAAGGGCAGACATGCTGAAGTTTTAGGTTTTTATTTTTTTTCCTTGTGTGAGTGGTCTAAGGGAAAATTGTAAATTTTTACAGACTAAAATAAAAGTGTGGAAGAGAATTTTTCCTGATCTCTTTGAAGAATATCTGTTCTGTAACTGGAAGATACTGATTCTGCGCCTTCTTATCTAATTGCTTTTGCTATTCTTGGGGGAATATAAAAAAAGAAGAAATTCATCATTACAAAATATACTTTACAACTAAATGCCTAAGTTATTAAATAGACTCTCAAAAGAAAGCATTTTTTTCTTCCTAATTCTGTCTTTTCTTTTGAGTTAATATATTTGAAGATGTCCCCCTAACACCCTACATCTTTAGAAATTAATCAAGTTCTAATTTCTCTTTGTAGGAGTAATATTATAAATGTGATTATAAATACATCATATCCTTAAAAGAAATTCAGGTCACTTCCTTTATCATTTGAGGAACAGAGTACTGATTGATAAAGGGGAGGTCGAGAGGATAAGAGAATTTTGGAGGAAAACAATTTATATTTCTTGAACCTTGCTAAGGTTATCCTGAGATAACCTTGCTAAGGTCACATCCCGAGAAGAAAAAATATCACTATCATTATGCAGAAAAATGCTGTCAATATTTTGATATAAACTAAGTATTACTGTATTTTAATGGCCTTATCTAGTTGATTAGAGAGATATTTTCAGACATTATCATAATCACATATGAACTTATAAAAGCCTGAGAGCACAGACTTTTGGTGATGGCTTTTTTCATGAGTGAGGCACTGTGATTGTAAGCTCAGGTGTCACTAGAAAAAGGATTCCATCAGTAAAGGAGTAGGAGGGAGAGAGTGGAATCTGAGCATTGACAGTTCGGAGGTACATTGCTATTGCAATGTTAGGATGGTTGACTTTGAGTGTCATTCTAAAAACACTTTACCAGTAGTATATTTGTGTATGTAGTAGGAATTTATATGTGTTAATATTTTCCTCTCAGAGAATGAAGGCAATAAAATTTTTTTAAAAATGAGATTTCACTTTTAGTGTTATACCTGTCAAGAGAGGCTGTATTATTTAATGAACATGCTAAGTTGACATAACTAAGAGACTCCAACGCACAAGGGTTTTTAATAAGATTGATGTTTATTTCTCTCTGACACTGGCTGGAGGGGAGTGGTATAGTATTGGAGGATTTCCCACACAGTGGAAAGAAGAAGCGAAGGGTCTCAAGCTTTAAGGATGCACCCTGTCACTTCTGCTCATGGCTGGAATCTGGTCACACAGCAGTCCACGCTGTAAGGGAAACTAGGTAATAGAGTTCTTCTCTGAGCAGATATGCTTTCAACTGAAACTGAGAAATTCACTTTTTAAGTCAGGAAAAAGGAAATTGGTAAACAACTAGCAGTTTCTGCCATTTGGCATTCAATTAAATTTTTAAAATTGACAAGAAAAATTGTATATATTTATGATGTACAACATGATGTTTTGATATAAATACACATGGTAGAATGGCTAAGTCAAGCTACTTAATATAATAAATTGATATTTATTAAATGAATAAGTGCCGTTTGTGTGACATTTGTTTAAAATCCAGAACCATAATATTGGGTGGATTCTCAATTGGGTCAGGATAGTTTTCTAAGACAATATTATATACTTTTAATAAAAATTTGCATTAAGAATCATTGATAAGAGAATGTTATTCACAAATGTTCTTTCCCCCCATCAACAATAAATAATGAATTTTCTTCTTCCTACATGATTATTTTATGTTGTATTACAAAATACTGCTATAGTTTAAAAGAAAACAAAATAAACAAATGAAAGTTTGTTAGAAATTATTAAGGTAACTTCATATACTTATCCATTCCAACGTATATAGTGAGGAAAATAACCAAATATTGTTACCCATTACTGCCCATGGAGAGTGTTTCCAAGTCTCTTTTATCTTTCCAGTCCAATTGCCTTGTTCTCACTGAGGCCAATTGGCCCATGTTTATTTTCCTGGCAGTTTAAGTAGATTGTCAACCGCTGGCCCTGTACCACATCTCTATTATTTCAGAATGTGTAGCAAGGCTGAGATTGCTTAATTAATTCAGAGCAATGGTAGTAATAATTAAATAACATGCACAACCCATTTTAAGAAGAGTATCGGTAAGTAATTTTGTTCCCTCCACCAGATCTTGTTTAAATTAGCTATGTTCATTTCCTAGTTTGTTGGCCAGCCTGAATTGAGAATTCAGTCATTACCTACACATTATGCACCACTCTGCCATAGGCTTTCAAATACACTTATTTATATGCAGCCTTTGGGCTTCCCAAGACTATTATAAAAGCAAGCTGACCTAGAGATGCTCATGTTTTCTCAAAGGGACTGAAATGTCTGGCTTATAAAGGTAATATTAAGGGCAACGATTTATTTAAGTTTTGAAGTGGAAAGCAACAAAATTGCACATAAGATATTGATATCAAAATTCAAACAAAGAAAATCTTACAGAATAATGAAGGTAAATACAGATAATATAAAAGTAAATCAAATTTCAGTCTAAAAATATTCTTTATAATTTCAATTAACTTATTTTTCTAATGCTACATAAACATAAAGCTAAATTATTTATAGATGCACTTTGTGTGTTTTAGCAACATTATGAGTTTCTCATGTTTCAATTTCTCCACTTGGATGCTAAATCCATCCCTTTGAAGTAATTAACATAATCACTAACATTATAAGATCATTTTCCTGACTCCAAATAAATGACCATCAAACTGGTGCCTACTCTCTATATTCAGAAATGCTTAAATAGTTCATTATTAGTCAAATGACTATGGAAAAACACAGTGCATAAGATGAAAGGAATAATGACTCATACCCCCTACAAGGAAGATGAAACTCTTCCACATCAGAATTAATTCACTGTAAAATATCTGAGTATCAGGAAGATAACTGAAAGTACTAAAAATAAAATCAAATGCAGTAGGTAATCGAAAGGTCATGAGATTTGTCACTACACTATTATGAGCTTTTTAAAAATTTTGGTAAGGCTTATAAATACGACTATAGCTTATATTCTGAATATAGATCACTTTTCAGTGAAGTTTTTGTATGTAAATGTATCTCATGAAAATATTTTATATACTATAAGCTTTCACTTATCAAATCACACTATTGATGAAAAAACTAAAGGTTATCAGACATGACAAATAGAAGATTTTTAAAATTTTGGTAAGGATGACTGTAGCTTCTGTTCTGAATTCGGAGCAACATTTAAATGGTGTTTTATCTACCTAAATATTCATATAATGAAAATATTTTTATGTTACATGTCTCACATTTCTTATCTCACTGAATGTAAAATGAATCTGAAACTTTAAATGAGCACTCATTTAATTTTCCCCCCAAAATACTTTCTGTTGACAATAGGTTTTATTGATTTTCAAATGGGAACCTATATTGTCTGAAAAAAATTAGAACTAATGAGGAAGATATTATTCCTAATTTAAAGGTATCAGCACATTTGCTTATAGGTAGACATGTTGATCTGTGTATTTTTACACAGTGGATCAGTGATATTGGTTAACAACATAACTTACTAACCAATTTTTCAATACTGAACTTAAGGCCCAGTTCTAAGCAAAACTGTGAAGAAATGTGTTTACTTATAGCATATCTGTGTGTGTGTGTGTGTGTGTGTGTGTGTGTGTCTGTGTGTCTGTGTATCCCTTTTTTCTTAAATACCTGCCGTCTCCTGTTGGTCCCTATTGTCCTGGTACTCAGGATCAAAGTACTGTGGCATGCATCCATTGAGCTGTCAGTCTGTTGTGGTTGGGATTCATATGACTACTCAGTGCCTATGCTATACAGGTCATAAAATTATTTTGAAAACCACCCCTGGTGCATACTCTCTGAGTCAAGCCCCTCCTTTCATGGGAAACTTTCCTGCCAGAATTCAGTGCCAGGGTTATCTTTCAGGGTTACCTGCTCTACTTTAGTTCCTACAGTCCTGGAGAATCATATAAGGATCAAGATCTCTCTTTGCTTTGGTCAATATAAATCTCTGAGGTGAGTTTTTAACATAGGTTGAGTGACTGTTGTCTGTCTATCACAGACTGTTAGTCACCCTAGGGATCAGGCTATGTGTTGATCATGTCCAGGTGTAGTCATGTACCTTCAAGTTATTGTAGCTCTGGAAGGCTATTACGACAGTTTTCCAAGCAGATGGCTTTGAAGAATTTTGAGAAACGGAGACCTTTTTCTAATCTGTATAAATGGATAATATAATTTCAAATTTCCAAATGGTTAATAAGTGTATCCTAAGATGTTTAACATCATGTGTCATTAAAGTAAAGAAAATTAAAATCAGACATGGTACTACTGAACATCCACCAGAATGGCTAAAATTAAAAGGATATAGAGGAAATTAGACTCTCACACACTGTCAGTGGGAGTACACCTTGTTACAACTACTTTTGATTACTGCTTGGCAGTATCTGATAAATCTGAACACGCATACATACCCGGCAATTCCAGCTGTGGGCATATATCCAAAAGGAAGGCTTATATATGAACTCCAGCAGACATATACAAAATGTTCATGGCATCCTCTATAAAAACCCCAAACTGGAAATAAAAACAATGTCTATCTACAATAGAATAAGTAAAGAGAAATAAACAATGTCTATCTACAATAGAATAAGTAAAGAGAAATTTTGATAATGGACAATAAAATACCGTACATCAAGGAAAATAGAAGAAATACTGCTACATGCAAAGATGGATAAATATATTGATCAAGAAATCACTCTAAAAGGTACACAGTACATTATTCTACTCATAAGAAGTGAAAGAGCCAAAAAAACTAATCTGTGAGGCCTGGCATGGTGGCTCACACTTGTAATCCCAGCACTTTGGGAGGCCAAGGTGGCAGGATCGCTTGAGCCCAAGAGTTCAAGACCAGCCTGGTCAACACAGTGAGATCCCATCTCTACAAAAAATAAAAATAAAAAAAATTAGCTGGGCGTGGTGATGTGTGCCTATAGTCCTAGCTACTCAGGCTACTGAGTCGGGAGGATCACTTGAACCCAGGAGTTACAGCAAGCTATGATTATGCCACTGTACTCTAGCCTGGGCAATAGAGAGAGAACCTGTCTCTAAAAAAAATTAATTAAAAAATAAAAATAAAAATCTGTTGTGGCTTTTGGAGGCAAATGACTGAGGATGAGAGGGAAGCTGTTGATCTGAGTGACAGTTAGATATGGTGTTCACCTTGTAAAAGCAGACTGGTGGCCTACTCTAATCCATCATAAGGTAGCACTAGAATGCCCTGGTCAAAAACGACCAATTTTGTCCACATCAAAAACAGTGATTCCTCTCTTAAGGACTAATTCATATTATCAAGCCAAGAGAGTCAGATAGGAAAAGAGAATGCCAGTTTATCAGTCTAAATTAGCAAATACAACTGTTTCATAGGCCATATCTGTGTCAATATGATCGACACATTTACTCCATGAAAACAAACTCACATGGAGAGCAATACGATACAAACACAAGAAAAATAAATATTGACTAAGAAATGTCCTTTTACTTCACAATGCACAGACTTTATCATGCGAGGTATGAAGGGCAGGTTTGTTAAGTCAAGGGGCATCCAGTTGTATCTAACAACACTGGTTAAAGTTTGCTACTCAAACACACAAACATTTATCAAGCTCATCTCGCAGCTCTCAGATGGTGTCAGACATAATTTTGACATAAAAAGCAGTTTGCATGTAAGAATTTCAAGATACTTGTGGAAAGTGTGACTCTCAGAGAAAGTCAAGAATTGATATTATTATTATTATTATTTTTATTATTATTATTATTATTATTTTGAGACGGAGTCTCGCTCTGTCACCCAGGCTGGAGTGCAGTGGCACGATCTTAGCTCACTGCAAGCTCTGCCTCCCAGGTTCAAGCTACTCTCCTGCCTCAGCCTCCCGAGTAGCTGGGACTACAGGTGCCCACCACCGCGCCCGGCTAATTTGTTGTATTTTTAGTAGAGACGGGTTTCACTGTAATATTTTATAAGTGGCAAGCTAAAGTTTAAAAATATGAAAACTTAATCGAAGTCATGTTTGTTTTGAGGTTATAGGTAAAACCAGAAAAGGACTCAGGATGCAGGGCTTCCATGCAGAGGTACAAGCACCATTCTTTCAAGAGTTATTTATTTAGAAATCGTGTGTGTGTGTGTGTGTGTGTGTGTGTATGATTTTTTTCCAGCTGTTCCTCTATGTGTCACAAGGCCATTACCAAACAAGTATTTGTCCTCAAGCTGATTACAATGTACAGGGAAGACAAACCATAAGAATATATTAAACAAATAAAAAAATAGTTAATGATACCTTGTATGCTCTGAGGAAAATGCAAATCAAGATCAGGGATCAAGGCGAACTAGAATGGGTCACTAGTTTCTATAAGGACTTCAGGGGTACTGTCTGCAGAGAAAACACTTGCACATGCACCTGAATGATCAGATGAAGAGAGTCAAATGAAGAGATGAGACGAGAGCCATCCAGATGGAGCAGACAGAAGGCATAAAGACCTTGAGGCGAGAACAAGGTTGGCATGGAACAACAGGGAGCTCAGTTACAGCCAGAGTATAGTGAGAGGGAACGTGGCACCAAATGAGGTGAGAACCAGATCATGCTGGGACTTCTAAACCACGATGACTGGCTTGGGTTTTATTTTAACTGAAATGAGGAAACACACGTGTAGGGCATTGAACAAAACATAAAATTAATGCCTGTATTTTTAAAAGCCTACTCTGGAACATTATGTAGAAGCATATTTCTATTTGAGAAAATTTGGAAGTGAAATACCTTTTAAGTATCAACACATGTACTTCCCAATGTATATAACATTCTCTAAAATGTTTTATAGTAACACCCAGTTGGGTGCCCATTGTTACTTTTACCAGGCAATTAATTTCTTGGAATTTTGTGGTTGATAGCATCATCATTGCATTCATAAAAATCTATGGAATATCTGAAATAAAATGTGGGCTCATCTCAAGGTGATCTGAAGAGAAATTTAATTACAAGAAATAGTATGATTTACTGTATTAGTCCATTCTCATATTGCTATGAAGAAATATCCAAGACTGGGTAATTTATAAAGAAAAAGAGTTGAAGGGACTCACATTTCCACATGGCTGGGGAGGCCTCACAATCATGGTGGAAGGTGAAGGAGGAGCAAAGGCATGCCTTACATGGCAGCAGGCAAGAGAATGTGTGCAGAGGAAATGCCCTTTAAAAAAACATCAGATCTCGTGAGACTTACTCACTATCACAGGAACAGCTTGGCAAAAACTCACCCCCATGATTCAGTTGCCTCCCACCGGGTCCCTCCCATGACACATGGGGATTACTAGAGCTACAATTCAAGATGAGATTTGGGTGGGGACACAGCCAAACCATATCAACTTAACATTGCCAATATATGATATAGAAAATTCCTTTGATTCCAAGAATTTGTATGACATTTATGGTTTGCTGCCTCCACAGCTCCACATATTTCTAGCCTAAGGAGAAAAAGGATTTCTTGGGTAAGTTTTCTAGGTTTAGTTGAGATTATCATCTCTAGTGCTCCCAAACTCAGAGATTAGTTTTCTTTGTTAATCCAGATCCCTGCAAATGAAAAGTCTTGACTAAATGTTACCTCACAAATTACAGATTTCATATTTTCTCTCAATTCATTTGAAAATATGAACAGCTACTTACCATATTTTTTTTAAGAGAGATGATCTCGCTTTGTCCCCTAGGCTGGAATGCAATGATGCAATCATAGCTTACCATAACCTCAAACTCCTAGGGTCAAGCAATCCTCCCACCTCAGCCTCCCAAGTAGCTGGGACTACAGGCATACACCCCCATGCTTGGCTAATATTTTTATTTTTTATAGAGACAGCATCTCATTATGTTGCCCAGGCTGGTCTGGAACTCCTGGCCTCAAGCAATCCTCCTGCCTCAGCCTCCCAAAGTGCTGAGATTACAGAAGTTAGCCAACACTCCCAGCCTCCCATCTTTGCTGTACATGAAATCACAAGTTGCTTAGCTTCTCTTGTAGAACAAATGTCAGAAGCGTGCATAGGACATTATCTCCAAATTGGCTATCTTTGGAGTTCACCCTCAGGTGAAACACCAAGCACCAGGAAATAGGTCAGGGATGAATCCAATTTCATTAACATCTGAAAGCTTTCACCTAGTGGAACATCCAGTCCTCCTCTCAGAGCAAAACCGATCCCTCCCAAGAAAGTTATTAGTCAAAAGGCCAAACTCAAATCCCCGTGGTGATAACTTCTAGTGCCATGAGCACTGGATTAAGTAAGGTAAATAATAGATGGCCTGTTCACTGGGGAATTCATTTCAGCCCTTCTCAAGAAGCAGATGGAATTTTAACCCACTCACATCTGATCTCAGTTTGGAGTCATCCTTCCTTTTTTCTAGAGAGCAGAGACTGAATTTGGGGCTTGTTAAATCATTTCCCAGCTATCCTAGCAGTGCCTAAGAAGTTGAAAATTATATGATGAATCACTGCTCTGACCTTTTGTCCTGATATAGTTAACTACCTCAGTTATTTGTCTTCCGAGCCCAAATAATCACGTTATAGCATTTAACCTTACGCTGGCAGGGGTGAAGACTCAAGTGGGAGTTACTGGAATGAGCTGCTTTCGACTTTGTGTGTGTGTGTGTGTGTGTGTGTGTGTGAGTGTGAATACACACACACACATACACAACTATGCTGGACAACATTTGCTTCCTCCTCCAGATTCACTCTGGATGAACCAAGCTTGCTTCTCAATGAGTTCAACTAATGGGAGGATCTGGCAGGAACAGAGTGAGGCCAGGGTATGCATGTCCTGAGTTCTCTCCCTGCTCAACTGCTGGCCAACAGTGGCTGCTTTCCTCCATAGAGGACCACACCTCCTCTCGGGCTACCCTGTCTTCTGGCTTTGGTTCTCTCTAGCTCTCTTAACCTTGCCACACCTTTACAAAAAGTCCCTACATTAATTTCATTTTGTTTGAGTGTGCCATCTCCTTCCTGCCTTGCTATACCAGCCTTTACTTATAGAATTTGATTTCAAAAATATTATATGGAGACTAAATGTCCATTGCATATGTTACTATTATTTTATTTTACTGTAAAAAGTCAAGGGGATGAAGTCATCTAAGGATTTTCATTAGACTTAGTGCTTATTGTAAAAGAGCAGTTTTATTTAGCTCTCAAAACTATCAATTGGTGAAAATTCACCCTCGCGCATATCAGCCAATAAACTAAGGTTAAACTTTTAGAATAAATAGAAGAAGATGAGAGCTAACATTTATTGTAAGTCCTCTGTGTACTGGAGAATTTACATACTGCACTCTTTAATCATTATAACAACTATATGAATTAAAGTAAGAATCAGAGCAAATATTCAAAAGCTAACCTCGCCCTGAGCTATTTCTACTGCATCCATGCTGCTGTCATTCAAACAGGTTAATTTATATATTTTTAAATTTTCATTATTTGCTATCCAAAGAAATGAGAAGCAAGTCAGAATAGGGAGGAATTTATTAAAATTCATCAACCATTCTAATCATTGCTGCCTCACAGTATTCGCTTTGGGGGCAACCTTCTCAATCCCCACCACCTCTCTCAAAGCCGCTATCAGCTTTTCAGCTTAGTCCTTCTCAATTGTTTGAGACTCTACTTTTATGAGGTGGACGCTCCATAGGCTAGAAGAGTGACTTTCTGTCTACAGTCCTTTGTAACTAGAAAGCACTATCAAAATCTTTAAGGTGAAGCCACTGGCTCCTCTATATTGGTGAACATTAATATACTTTCCTTTTCAAAGCAAAATGCAGAGTACACGTAGTATCTCCACGAAGCCACAGGTTTTGAACACAATTTCACCTCTGGCATATTAGCTAACATGCAAAAATCTAGCACCAACGCTTTTCCACCTATGTTTCTTCCACCTATGTTTCTTCCTATTAACAAAGTGTTTGTTCAGCTCAAGGATTCTCAGCTCTCCCCTGGCACATTAGCGAGCAGGCCACTGACCCTCATCTCGCTTCTTTGGTCTGTGATTATGGGACACCGAAAATCTCCTGCAGCTCAGATTCCCATAGCTCTTCCTGCCACTTCCTCTGTCTGGTGTCTGACCTGCCTCTGGGTCTGCTAATTTAAACTCAGTTCACCAGGGCCCCACCCACAACAGGAGAAGTACTTGAGCTGCTGCCTTTCCATTCTCTCAGGGCTCCCATCTCCACCTCAGCTCTGTGACATCATTCACCCATCTGCAGACTTCTTCCTGTGCTACTCCCACAGCTTCGATCATGGGAGTGGATGGAGGTGGGGATCCCTGTTACCCATCAGCTTTTCCCTTAGCTTAACTGTAAATGACCATATCGATTGCAGGAGGGCAGAGTGTCCAGTCAGCATCCCCAGAGAAGACTGTCTGAGGGGGGTTAGCCTTCTCCACTTTCCTTTTAAGGATTCATTTTCCCTTTCGCTTGGGATTTGCTGTTGCAATTAATCTCTCTAAATCTGTGAGTTCTGCCCTCCCTTTTAAGATTCCTACTTCTATTTTCTCTTCCTCGGTTGCTGTCTCATTTCCTTCCACCTTTTCTTCCTTTCTCCCTTCTTCCCTTTTTCCTTTTTTCCCTTCCTCTATTCCACTTTTCATTTTTTCTCTCTTCTGAGCAAAACACTAAGCAAAGAATAGCAAGTATGTTTTAAAAGGTAATAATTAATAGGTGAATCCCACATGTTTGGTAGCGTTTAGCAGGAAATATGTATTTTTCGAGAAAGAATGCACTTAATAGAAAGCGCATGCCCATGGCAGAGGGAATACCAAATAAAATGCACATTTGTTAATGCTGTAAATTCAATAAATATACTTAACTCTCCACATTTAAGAGGACATTACAGGCTGAGCAGGAGGGTTTGAAAGCTTTCTGAATACTTTCACTATATAATCTTAAGAATTAGCCTTATTTATACTAAAAAACAAGTTTTACTTATGCATGTTCACATGGCTATTATATTAACATCAGAGAGAGCAAATACATGGCATGGTTCCCACACATTTACAGCGCCCCTTCCACCACCCATGGCCGTGTTAACCTTTCCTAACCAATCATTAGTTATCTTTCCATTTGGGCTGAGAAGCTGGCTCCTGCCTTTCTCTAAACAGTATTCCAAGCAGATTCCACTGGCTGATAGAGGATATCAGTTGAGGAGAAGTCTTATTTTGCATTCCCTTAAAAGAAGTAGAAACATCAGATATTAACCATGATTATTGCCACATATGGCATTATGGGTTGCTTTTTATACTTTAGTAAATTATCAAATTGTGCTACCTTAACTATGTATATTAATAGTCAGATACAAATATTTTAAGGAATTGACTATCCTGTGTAATTTGAAGACAGACAGATTTCATCCTGAATACGAAAGTAGAAAGTCATGTAAATTATCTGAGCAATTCTTTTTATCTTATGTGGATTTCTGAGTCATAGAAACACCCTGGAGTAATCATATTTAATTATGTCATTTTAAAAACACAAGGATTAGGATTGATTTTCAAACATAGTTTAAGATACCTTTTATTATTTGTATGGAGACAAAGAGAGAAGGGGAATGACAAAAAAATTTAAAAAGCTGCACTATGATGATTCGTGGAAACTGGTAAGTAGAACACAAGGGGCTACACAGAAAAAATAGTCGTTAAGGGGGAAAGCATTTCATTTCTATTTCAACTGACAACATTCAAGTTACTTTCAGCATAACGCTTGGAAAAATATTACTTAACATTCACAGGCAACAATATTACCCCAGCTTAAAATGTGCATGTGTGTGTGTGTGTGTGTGTGTGTAAAGTTCCATCTAATTCAACATTACTTACATTTACCTTGACATTTACCTGGACTTTTGTAATGACATTTATACTTAACAATTTATTCTTAACACATATTCTACAATGTTATTCTCAAAAGAAGCACTTAGTAAATATTGGTCAAGAATAAGGAATAATGATATGTCAAGGAAGCTAATATTGGCTTTGACTTTTAGCAATTTTTTTTCATTTCTATATAAAAAATGAGGAACAATTAGCATTCAGGATTTGAGCTCTCATATATGTCTCATGAACAATTCTAGGAATGATTTCAATGCCATGGGAGAAATTTGAATAATATGATGATAAGTTGGTATGAGACAGGTCCTACTAAAATGGCTTAGTTACATTTCATTTACCCAGAAACTCCTACCTTCCAACCCTACAGTTACAGGACAGAGCCCCTGGCTAGTCAAAGAGGAGTCACAAAGGTTTCAGAATAATTTGACAAATATTTATTGAGTGTCTTTTATTGCCAGAGTAAGTGTTTCTTAGAAAGTGAACAAGATAGATATGTTCCCTGCCTCATAGAACTCACAGGTTAGTGGAGAATGCAGACAAATAAATGGACAACTACAATCTAGTGTGTTAGTATTTTCTAAATGATGATTCATGATAGTGCTGCATGCATATCACCTGGAGGGCTCTTTAAAAATACATATTCTCAGGACTCTGCTCCAGGCATCCTGAGTCAGAACCATGTGTATTAGAATGCCAGGGAGGCCAAGAGAGACAGCTCATTTCCCAGAGCAAATGAATCTTGAGAAGGGATGGGAAGTTTTCAAGGAGGAGAGGCTTGCATGGGGTTGCTATCAGGGCAGGGCATGAGCAGGTGCTGGTGGGGGCAGGAGAGGAGAAGTGTGTTATAGTCTGAGGGATCAGAAGGCATGGCAACTTACATAGGAGCAGGCATTTATATGGAAGCATCAGAGACAATATGGAGGGATGCAGGAGTATAGACGTAGTTGACAGCTATAAAACTAGAGAAGGAAGTTCTAGCTCATGAAGACCTTGGAAGGGCCTGTTAAAGAGTTAGAACTATAGTATCCCACTAGCAATTGGTAACCATTAAAATGTTTTAGGCTGAGGAGAGATTTGCTCAGGATCGCCATTAAGTCAGTGTTACTGGCTCAGGCAATGCTGGAGATGCTAGTAACATTCACTGATGTACAGAGCACAAATAAAAATGACAGTTTGGGAGAAAGTGATAAATTCCATTTTGAACACAATTTTTTAATCCCTGTATTTCCATCGAGTAGCCGTTAATGGCTGTGAAGTCCAGGGGAAGGTTATGAATGATAGACAGATCTTGGAATCATCAATCATCCATTCAATAGATGTTCATTGAGTTCCTCCTATGTGCTACACCAGGTGCTAAATCTAGGCATACAACAGTGAATAAGAGGAGGCAAGGTTCCCACCATGGTGAATCATGCATGTGGATGTTCATTGAAACTCTAGGAGCACAGGAGATCACCGAGAAGGGGATGCAACTAAAATGCATAAGGATTTAGATGGTGCTTGGTACACAGGATAAACTAGCAAGCAAAAATCTAATAGTGATAATTGCAAAACAGAGAATTAGAATAAGTTGAAATGATGCCAAGTGATCTAATGCACATAAAATATCTCTTTGAAAACTGAATGACATTTTAAAAAAGCTAGCAATGTGAATTATGAATATCAAAGGGGAGGGTAGTAAGAGGCAGAGGGAATGGCTAACGTGAAGACCCTGAAATGGGAGAGAGCCTGGAAGATGATGAGAGAAACAGAGAGGACACATGAGTATCTCCTGCTGGGCTCTGAAAGCCAGGTTAATGCATTGGAGTTTTAGTCCAAATGAGAAGGGAAATTATTAGATGGTTTTAAGCAGGTAAGTGACATGATCTATATTATATATATTTTTACACATCACTCTTGCTGTTGTGTGGATAATTGATTTTGGAAGATTGAAAGCAAGGAGATGCTCTAGGAGCCTATTTCAGTCATCCAGGGAAGCAATGAATGTGTCTTGGTCTAGAAATGATTGGGTTCACTTTATGTCTCTGAGTGAAAAAGAGCAGATTTGCTAATGAATTAAATGTAAAGAAATTTTAAAAAAGGAACAAAGAGAACTCTTAGATTGAGAGAGCAATGTGGACAGTATAGCAATTCATGAGATGCAGAAAGATATAAAAGAACAAGATACTTGAGTTTTTCAGAAACACTTATGTTTGATAATGTTTTGTTCTCCAATTACAATGTTAATTGATGTCTTCTTTCTCCAACTACAATGGAAGCTACTTGAAGAAAAAGACCACAGCTCCTATCAACAAACATTTTGTTTTTTCTACCCTATTTTTCCCAGGTTTTTGATATGACAATCTGAAATGAAGAAGTGTTTATTGAATGACTGAATAAATGAAAGAATATGTTTTTATGTAGAAAATAAGGCACTGTGTTTCTGCTGCTTAATCTTACTGTGTTCCCTCAGACCATTAATCTCTACCATGAAGTACTTGGTCTTTATTCACTGAAATGGCAATAAAGACAAGTTGTAGCTCTTCCCCACACTTTTAGAAAAAGAAATATGAGAAACAAAAGAAAATTTCTTTCAACAGGCTTTTCCAAGAGAGCAAATTTGCCCTAGTAGAGGCTATTGAGCATCCAAGAGCTATTTGACTCCAAAAGAATGAATATGGAGTCATTCACATTCCGCATTCCATAAGTACGTTATGCTAGATATCATCTGCATGTGATTTAAACCTCACAGCATCCCAAAAGGGAGACGAAATGATAAAGATGATGATGATGATGATGATGATGATGATGATGATGATGATGACTGCCATTTCATAGATGTGGAAACTGAAGTTTTAGAAGAGGAAGTGACTTGCATAAAGTCATTTAACTAATAAGGGACATGCATAGTCAGGACTCAAACCTGACAAGTCAGTGTTCATAGCTTTTGCTTTTCCACACTAAGGTTTCCAGTGACAGATATTAATAAGACTTATGTCTGAGCAGTCAAACAAGACCTATGAAAGTCCTATCCATGACTTCACTGGCATTCAATCATTTTTCTCCAGGTTTCACAAATGAGCAGATCAAGGGTTCTCCAGGAAGACCTGCCATGCATAGACACCTCTACATTAGTGCAGTCAAGGATCAGGAAACCCCTTTCTAATTTGAGCAACACACATATGAAGGTAAGGAAGCGGAGTCAAAAGTGCTGTCAGATACTTTTTTCTCCACTAAAATTAAACCCAGAACATTGAGGTGGTTGGCCCAAGGCCTTAAAGTCTGTGGTCCAATAATATAGCTGTGTATCCTTTATCCCAAATGCCTATGTTAGTCATGAGCCTCTTTGCCCATAAGAGGATATGTAGAGGCAGGAGAGAAGTCAGGTTAAGGTACTTAATAAATGGTTCCCCATGAAATTTTCTTCCTCTATCCAACAAACTGGAAAATAAGCCTTTTTTTTCCTTTTAATTGATGATGCAGCACGATGTTATGGAAAAAAGATTTTTAAGAAAACCTACAACAAATTTACTCTTACTCCATTATCTTCCTTTCCTGAATCTGCCACACTGGCTGCCCTTATTTTTTAATTTATGACAGTTCAACCCAACCCATCCTACACACACAGATACATGCACATCATTCACTTTTATGACATCACATAAACAAGGAAATAGTTCAGGCAACTTGGATTAATTTTGGGAATGGTATTGGCATTGAAGGAACCTTCTGGGTGAGGGGTTCTTACTCTTTATTGTGCCATGAAGCCCTTTTCAGTCTGGCGATTTCTACTGATCCCCTTCCCCAAATAATGTTTTTAAATTCATAAAATACATAGAATGAAGAAGAAAGCCAATTATACTGAAATTAAATTTCAAAATATAAGAAAAAAGTTAACAATGTAGTAATTAGCATTATTTACTGATATGTTAAACAAAGAGATTTAGCAGTTGCTCTAATAACTACCATAATTTTCAAGTGGTGATGATCCTAAATAATCTTTAGAGTTATGTATAACAACCATAAGATGTCATGAAAAATTTCTGTGATTCATATTGGTAACAAAATTATAGGCACCTGTAATATGTAGTTTGTCTACATTCAAAAATGAAGTAAGTACTAAATTCTGTTATTGGATCACAAAACTAATAATTTTTACACATCCAGGGTCAATATTTAGGTTAAAAATTCATGTTTTAGCCTCAAAGTATTGGAGTCCTCCTACAACACTAGGAAGATCGTAAGTGAACTTACATATATCTGAACTTTGCAGTCTTCAAAGGGAGTAAGTACTGTTACCTATTTCCCAAACAGGAATAATCCGATGTACTGCTGCAAAGTGTCTTCAGCCAATTTAGACAAGAACAACTCTTAAATTATTTTTGGTGAAGAAAGTTAATCACTGAACAATTTGAGGTGAATGGAAGTTCGCTATTCCTCTACAACCTTTTACCAGGTTATAATGAAAGTAAGTTTTCAGCCAAGTTCTGCTACAAATATTGAATATATTAAACTTTTTATGTGCAATCAAACCTGAAATAATTACACAAAATCTCACCTTCTGCCTGTGTAGATGCTGCAACCACCACCCTACATGAAAGTTTCACTCAAAATAGATATTAAAACATTCTGGAGGTGGGAAACTGTGACTTTTATCATACCAAGCAATCGAGAACCAGCCACAGAGCCTTTAAGGAATCAAGCATCAGGGCCATCCTTGAGAAAGCTGGTTTTGAGTCTCCCTGAATTCCTACATGCTGTCCATGCAAGTCCTTGTAATATCAACAAAAAGATTTTAGCTAAGTCACATCTCTGAGACAATTTTCATGTCATCTAATCAGTCAGAGTGCAGTTCTACCAGTCTTGCTAAATAACAGGCCACAAGTACACTGAACAAATCCATGTCTGACATTCACTATGCTAATTAGCATATCCTCAGGTGCTGTTTAAGATATGGGGCTTTTAGTAGCCACCCTTAGAATTAGCCTTCCTCATATAATGCTAGCTACCACCATTGGAGTGTCGATTCTTGATCAGAGAAAGTGACTGGCCCTAGAATTGAAGTTCAAACTAAGTAGCACATGCTTTATATTGCATAGTATGTGTCAAAGTATTTAGAAGTAAATTATATAGACACCATAATAGTCTCTCATTCACTTTGAATACAGCAAGTGCAACACTTTAATAAGTTCCTGATATGGTTTGGCTGTGTCCCCACTCAAATCTCACCTTAAATTGTAATAATCCCCACATGTCAAGGGTGAGGCCAGGTAGAGATAATTGAATCATAGGGGGCAGCTTCCCCCATCTGCTCTTGTGGTAGTGAATAAGTCTCACGAGAGCTGATGGTTTTATACATGGGAATTCCCCTGCACAAGCTCCCTTGCCTGCCGCCATGTAAGTCATAACTTTGCTCCTCATTCGCCTTCCACCATGATTGTGAGGCATTCCCAGCCATGTGAAACTGTGAGTCAATTAAACCTCCTACCTTTATAAATTACCCAGTCTTGGGTATGTCTTTATTAGCAGCATGAGAACAGACTAGTACAGTTCCCTCCTCAGGTGTTTCTGGATGCATGACTGAATGTTCACATGTCCCCAGATCGGCCATGTTGTCATTTTTACCTCAATTGACCATCACTGAACCGTGATGTATTTTCTCTTATCTCCCCCCATCATTCCCTCTGTCCAATCACTAATGCTTTAAAAACACTGGATTCAATTTCAGGACTGAAATAAAATTCTGCTTTAATAAACTCTTTAGTTTCTATTAATTATCTTAAATTGTCTTGTTTAGTAAGAACTCAATATATTAAAGTGCAAGTTATTTATGTATTAGTTTAGTTGTGTCCTTTTGGTTCCTTACAAGGAAGGAAATTAAAAAGGTAACATTAATTCAAGTTATTATGAAAAAGTCTAAATGTTTTTTATACAGGAAGCAGTAAAATGCATTAATTGTACAGGAACTAGAAAATAGATGCTAGTGGCACTCACAAGTTATTACAGTCTAATTGTAGTTAATTTTATTCTCTGGGACAACTAATCTCTCGATAACATTTGCAGCAATTGATTAAAATCCACTCCTTGCTAAAATCAAGGTCTTTAGGTAATTGATGTGCTAATAGACCTGCAATTATTTGAGACTGTGCTTCCTCACAGAGAGCAAGTCAAGGAATGGATAAAGTCCAAATAATGTACCTATTTTGCAACAGAAGCTATGATAATTGCCAGGAGACAGCCTGCTTATCAGTTGTGAGAGGTTTTCATCCTTCATTAATATGTAGTTCAGTTGGACATCAGAAAAACTGGCCCCCATGGGAATATTCTCCGAATCTCCCATTATCTCATTTTCCATAAACTTGGCTTGACCCACTTTTTATCTACATTCGCAGAAAGATCTGGCTTTTCACATATGAGCTTTCTAAACAATCAGCTAGCCGTGAACCTGCGTCTCCAAAGCTCCATGCAGTGTCAGCTGCTGTAAATTTGGACAAGTGTGTACACCAATCAAATATTAGTTTAAATATTCCAGACTAAATATTTTAAAAGTAGACAAAATAAATATCCCAAATTGCTAAGCTGTGAGTTTTCCATTCTGTGGCTTGTGCCCTCATGTGCTTACTGTGCAAGGCTCTCAGTTGGGGCTACACACCTTTAATGTATTCAGGCATCTAAGAGAGCCACACAACAACTCCAGATTTGTTGCACATCAGGCTGAGCTCTCTACTGAGTCTAAACTTACCCACAGAAAGATTGGGAGCAATGCTTTTAAAATTCCATTAGTGAAACAAGAACCGTTTTCTTCTATCCTGGCCAGACATGATCCAGGTGGCTAAAAGAATTGTTGTTTGCGACCAATTTTCTTTTGTTCTGGGGCTTGCGAGGGAATGTCTAAGTGGGACACAATTCTTTGCAGCCTCTGCTCTCTTTCTTTGCTCTCATAAAGAATATTCTTGTCCCTGAGTTTATAATTGAAGTTCACTAAAAATGACTCTTTACAATTATAATAGGAGGGATAAATGGGTTTATCTTTCCACTTCATCCTCATTATGGCTCAAAACAAATATCCAGTGTGGTCAATTGTAGATAAGTAACAAGAAAAACACAGCTGTTCAAGTAAAACACAGTTTCCAGGTACTACAATAATGGTTAATATATATGATGGTGCTCACTACTCCCAGGCTCTGTGCTGAGTGCTTCACTCATACCATGTCATTTAATTCTTACAATTAAATGTAAGTACTATTTCACTTAGATGACATCCTAACAAGTACTGTTATTCTACCCATTTTACAGTTGAGTCCACTGAGGAAGGAAAAAGTTAGTTTCACTTGACTAAGTTCCCACATGGATTAAGCAGCAGACCCAAGACCAAGACCAGAACGCAATCCACTCTTTGATGAGAACATACTTGGATATGACCTATGCTATTTTGAATGAAATTTAGCAAGGAAGAACTGTCCATCAATCATTTTAACCAAGTTCACCTTTTGTTGCCATTTAAGTTTAATTTTGTCCCAGGAAATTCATAGTGAGTGATTGTGATTACATTTTCCTCATTTTCATGCCTCTGACATTCTTGTTGAAGATGCTAATCTTGTATAAAGCTGTCTTTGGAGTTGATGATGCTGACACTTCTCACTCCTATGGGAAATGGAGAGATGTGGTGCATAAAATAGAATAAAATGTATTAGAGCAAAATAAAACTGCTAATAAGAGTAATCACTGTAATAGATTTTAAAATCATTTTAAATCTAGTTTTAATTACCTAAATCCATCTCAGAATTACTACTGATGTGATGAGAAATTCATAAATTCTGTGCAAATTGAAAACAGAAATTACATTGTTTATTAAAATACTACTTTACTACCCCATCTCTATATTATCATATATGTAAATTTACGCATGTATACATAAATTATACATTTATACATATAAACTTGAATTTATCAGAACTACTCAATTTCATCTCCTGGTTAATAATTTAGTATGCATTAACCTTCAGTATTCACATCAAGATACATTCTCCTCTCAAACATGATAAAACGAAAGCGTTCTAAGATTATACAGAGTGTGTTTTCTAAACAAAATTCGCTTCTCGTTTTAGAAAGTTGATGTCATCAAGGCATCACCATCAAATTTAACTTCTCTACTTTTCTTTAGATAAAAATAGAGAAGAAAGCTTTCTAAGTGTGTCAGTCTAAGAAAAACTTTAATTAGAATCTCTGGCTGTTGTTTAGGTTGCATTCTACAACTTATTTCAGCTTGACAGTAGGCAGGAGACTTCCCCTTCAATTTTAGGTCGAAGCCAGAATAAAAAGTGCTTTAGAAAAAGAAAAAACTGGTTTCTGTTCTCCTAATTCCCTTCTGCCCATAAAACGAATCTATGCAGGATATTTGCAATAGCATCTCAAACCCACCTGGCTCTTCTGTATTTCTTACTTGAAGACATCAGATGGCTGACTCCACAGGAGCCTGTGGTGGATCAGAGTGGAAAACTGCAACCTGAGAGGATTGAGGGAAACCTTACAGAGCCCCTGGGGTAGTGGTCAGGTTGGAGGTTTCACATACTCTAAATGAGAGTTGTCTTTATTTTGCTGCTCAAATCTGGTGGGCTTTCTTGCCAATGAGTTTGCTATGGACTCAAAACATTGTTATTTTGCCTGAACAATCTCTGTGGTTAATGGTTGTTGTTAGATATTGCATGAACCTTGGGTTTGAAACTCAAGATAGACTCCTGTGGATTCTCAATTTTCCTTTTAGTTAAGAGTAGAAGACCTTCAATTTATCCAGAAATGTGGTTGAGCTGTCAAAATGCCTGGTCTGAAAATGGATAGGCCTATGGCCAGGAACTTGCTGACAAGGAAACCTATAGTTGCAGGGCTCAAAACTTCTCAGATGATAGGCTATGGGAAGAAGTCAGAGGGTTCATTCAGAAGCTCCAGCTACAGATAGAAAACGCTACTCACGAAGAGGTAGCTCAACCTCCTAACTGATGTCATTGTCTCCACTGGAGTAATCGTCCTCAAATGCAGTATCAATCACGCTACTCCCTTGCTGAAGATATTCAGTAACCAGACCCACTCTTAACACATTGCAGGGCCTGGGGCAAGAGTACAGATGGATACCCACAACATAGAGTTAAATCTATACAAACTATAAATCAATATAACAAGCTGATAAACAGAATATGTCCCCCTTCTGTGAAAAATATGCCTCCATACTGAAAAAATCTCAACATACATGTAAAGCTATGCTTGTTGCAGGAATGTGGTTAGGGACAAAGTAAAAATAACTAAACTGTATTATTGTACATTTCTGAGTATTCTTTTTAGAGTCTGATGATGTTAAAATGAAAAGTAAGTCACAAAAATGTATTTGTGATTATATATTCTGTAATATCAATTTTAGAAAAATTACTAATTATGTCATGTTGAAGATGTGTATATAATTAATGTTCTAGAGATAATAACGATATAAAAGATTGAAAGTATTCAAAGTATACAAAACTGGAATATATTTTCATTGAAGATGTAAATTAAATGTAAAAAAGTTATTGTTCATATTTTCAAAATCTTTTCTTTCAAAATATTCAAAATTGCCTATAAAATTAAAAGGCAAAAGACAAATCATTATAAATCAAAATATTAAATAAAATATTTCAAAGTAAAGTTTAAATTTTTATAATGTTTAAGAATTAAATCTTTTGATATAAATAAAGCCATTTTATCATTCAACATAAAATTATGTAGTTTTATGTATATATATATTTATGCATATATTGCATGTGTATGTGTAGGGATATATATATATAGAGAGAGAAAGAAATATTTTGAGTAATTATAAATATTTAACAGTGTAAAATATTTCTTAATCTTCATATGCAAAGTTTGGAAATACCACCCTAATTCTTGTCTCCTTTTTTCTACAAACTAGAACGTGAAGGGAAACAAGTAAATGGACCTCTTTTTGTCCTGTTTGGAAATTGTTCTTAGTTACGCAAGAATGCTCTTCAGGCATGTTATCTGAGAACTGGTGATCAGTTAATATAAATATTTTAAAATTTTAAATTCTCTCCACTTTTTCCCTCTTACGTTCTTCCTATTTTCGAAGCAGTGTCCATTTCCAGGGCTGGCAGTGGCATATCCATAGACCCTCACAGCGTGCGGACCTCATTCCCTCTATACACAGTGCCAGAGATGTAGAGAAGTGTTTGCCCGGGGACTAAATGTTAGTCACAAAAGCTGATGCTTGAAATGATGTGTTGAACTGGGCCAGCAATAAGTACTAAAACCTGAGTACAGATAGAAGTGGCCTTGTATTCTTTCATAACATTTTCTCCTCTTGAGACTATGAAATGCAGGCCTTCTTAAGCATGAGTCCCAGAGCAAGGGCCCCTGGAGCATGAGGCTAAGAGCAATTATGTCAATAGCTACCCTAGTCTTTACTATAAAACCCATATATTTTAAACACAACATAGAAAGTAAGACTCAATGGACAAACTCTCTCTCTCTCTTTTTTTTTTCCATTTGATGCTTTCCTCATTCTCACACCTTCTCTCTAGCAAAAGGGAAGTGCTTTTATTATTATCCTTGCTTTCTCTTACATTTGGTGCTTTGAAAACATTCATTCCTTTGCTTTGAAACCCTTTCGCCTCACCCCTCCCTGATGGATTGGTCATTAAAGACTCAAATCAGACATCACACATTACTGTTTCTGGGAAGCTTCCCTCTCTGACCAACCTGGATTAGGGTTCCTTCAGGATACTCCTACAGCACCCTCTGAGCCTCCTTCCACCACAGAATTACACTCAGTTGTAGTGTTCTGCCTACTAATAAGAAAACCTCTTCTAATTATGAGCCTGTTAAGGGCAGAAGCTGAATTTTATTTGATGTTTGTCATCCCTCCACCTAGTACATTGCCAGCTGATACATCATTGATGGTTCGTAATAATCTGATAAAAGAATAAACTATTAAATAAGCAAAGGCACTTAACTGCGTCAGATTGTCACCAATATACAGATGTTATCAACTCTGTCTATATTCATCTGTTTGTCTCCAGAGAGCAAAACGCACTTGCTATGGAGTAGCACCTATGCCCTGATCAAATCCAACCAAGGCCCTGGGATGTCCCTCTAGAACACACAGAAATCCTCAGACACATATCTTGTTCAAGCTCTTCATGGGCCATCAACAAATACACTCCCCTCAATATACATAGACCTCCTTTCAAATAAAAGCCTAGCTGGATGGCATCAAGTCTTGCATATATTCGACTTACTCCTTATAAGCCTCAATTTCTTCCTTTTGTCACCACGTGGTGTGTGAAAAGACAGCTGATGCTGGCATTCCATGCAGAGTTTTCAAAAAGGTCAACTAGCATTCAGATTTCTGCTGGTGAAATTCATTCCTTCTCTTTCAAAAATTTAATGAGAAAGGACAGCTTTGTGAAATGGAGGAGCAAGAACAATATTGCTTAAATAAATTGGAATTTGCACTTTGATTACCCTGCAGTTTCTGCCATACTTTGCTGGAAATGCTCCCTGTGGTGCAGGTTTTCTCTGGAGTGACATCACCTTATGAAGCCATCCTCCATATAATTATTTCCATCCATATTTGTAGAGGACATAGCAAGAACGTTCAGCCAAGAATACTTGATACATATAGAAAAATTTAAAACTGTGGAGTCACCAGAAGCCCCATTAAAAGGCAAATGATAGATATTAATGCATGCCTCTGACTCCAAAGGAGGTATTTCATATTCATATTAGAAAAAAAGTCTCTTTCAAACAATGAGACTCTGGTAACAGCAAATATCCTATGCCGTGAAATAACAAACAGCATGCATAGTTTCCGCTGCTTTTCTTGGAATAACACTTATAAAAGGTGCAGCATAAAGGCAGTAGGCATATTTTAGTCCACATCATCAAATTTAAATCCTTGTGGAACTTAGGCTCTGTCAATGCTAATACCAAGTATTGAGATTTTAAAATTTTATTTTGGCTACCCTTGTTTCCCCTTTTGATGAACTTGATTATTCATTTTAGACTATGGGTTTTTTAATCCATTTTAATAAAAGCAAAAACACTAATACATAAAAGTATTAATTTTCTCACATATCAAAATAGATCACTGAAAGACAGGATTTTTTTTTTTGATGATTTAAATAAAATTTTAAATGTGAAAGCTGTGGATGGGCTTTCCTGACAATTTGTGATTTACTCAGGCTGACTTTACCCATGGGGGAGACTGCAGCCTCCCACTGCTGTGAGTTAAAGGGCATGAGCAGGCTCTTTGTCTCTTGGAAAATAAAAGCTTCTACCATCTGCTCATTGAGGCTTTGATTTTGTTTTAAATGTAGAAAAACATGCATTTAACACTGCAGTTAGCGATAAGGTTCAAACTCATTCATTCATGCATTCATTCATTCAACACAACCACTCAGGGAAAGAAAAGGGTATTGGATATGAGATTAAATTCCTCACTTAATAAAACAGAAATGTAATTTTTTTTCTTTATAACCACTGTTTTCAAATCAGCTCCAAAAAATCAATCTTGCTTCCTTGTCCATTAATGTGATCTCAGTCAGATTCCATGATTTTTCAACTATAATCATTTGTGCAAAAGTCCCAGCTGACTTCACTCAGTTTAAAATTTAAGTCTACAAGCTCTATAAGTCTCTTTTGCTTTCCCTTGTCCAACATGATTCTCAACCTTGACAACCACAACTGCCTTCTCTCTCCTCTCTCTTCTCTCTTCTGGGCTCTGGCACCTCTGGATTGCAGCCCAGGAGGATGACTAGGACAGAAGGCAACAAGTCCTCTTATGGTGCCACTATCAGTCATCTTCAAGCTATTGCCAAAATCCCATATTGCAGGCAAATCAATACTTTTCCTTTCGGGTGAGGGGAGAACACTGTGCCCTTCCAAAGGCCCTGCAGAGGTATTGTTGCCTATGTGGCCCATGGGCATCAGTATCACCTTTTCCCACCACCCTTCCTTGGCTCAGAACCTGCCATAATACACTCTCAGTATCTTAAAACTGTGGTCTCCTCACGGGGCAGGCTGACCACCTGCCTTCACAGTTCTCCCTGATGTCCTCCAACTCCCAGGGACACACATCAGATTCTCTCAAGCATGAGCTTCAATGACGTCTATTTCAGCTGCTCAAAGATCTTATTTTTATACATATATATACATTCTTAGATGCACAGTTTTATTCTGAATGATAACATATTTAATAAAATCTCAAATGTGAAATGGGGTCAACATTTGCATATCTATATAAACAATAGGTCCTGGCCTGTATTGTATCACGTAGCCATCTAAACCAAAGGGCAAATACCCACCTACCTCCCCCCAGTTTATGTTGTGGAGAAACTGCCATTACAGCCAGATTTGTCTGGATGTGAGACACTCTTGGGGCTGAGCTTTCACGGTTTATAGTGTGCTTTCATTTTCACGTGGCATTAATCAAGTTGACCTTCTATGATAACGCTGTCAAGAGCTGTCAGATACATATATTTTCACTTTTCTCACATTTCTCGTTACCTCACTTGAAATTTGTAACAGTAAGTGGTAGCAACTTGTTCCAATTCTCAAAATTGGAAACTAAGTTCTGACCTCACTGGTAGGAGAATGAAATATCTCTTTTAAAATATTTTACATTTTCTGTTGTATCTAAAGAGTGACTCGCCCAACTCTGTAAGGAAAGCAAGGTCACTTTGCCCTCACGGTGATGTTTTCTACTCACTAGCATTAAGCCAAAGAGAAACTTGTCACCCTTTAGAGGTCACTATCAGAAACCAGAAATGCTGACTGTCATGGAAAACTCTATTGCTGGGATTTGAGTAATGGGTTATCCCAGTTGTGAAATAAAGCTCTGTTTGCCAGAAAAGAAACCATTACATTAAACGAGACTGCCTTGCTCAATACTTTCAGTATAGCAGGAACATTAGGCTATTGAGGTTAAAGATGTATGTTTCATACCATCACAAGAATAAGAGCCCTTACTGGCCTGTTTGAACAGAAGGGGTATTAAATAAGTCACTCACACCTTCAGCCTTCATGAATCTTAGGCTTCGTCTGCACATGTTTAAAGAAACTTAACACTTCTTTAATTATACATTGTAAATCATATTGACCAGGAGGCAAGTAAGACATAGATTGTGGGTTAGTGTTTTTCAAATTTGGTTTAAATCATTACACTTTCTTCATTTTTCAATGGGCATTACAGCCACACTCATAATCCATCCTTAGATCTCACTAAATAGGCCTCTTCACTAATGCAAAAATATTCAAATGTTGAGCTTTTAAAATATTTCCTGTGAAGTTATAAATGTTAATCTACAGCTTTCAGAAATTCTCATACATTTCCAATGTAAATTTATAACTTGCCACCACAAAAAAAGAAAACAAAAACTTTTAACCGTTACCATCTTAGAAATGAAGGTGGAAGAATTTATCATAAACCTAGTATTAGCTAAACACTTGTAATTATGCACGTGTACAGAAATATGTCCTTCTCGAATAACAGGGCATAATTTTACATAAAAATACCTCTGTGGCTGATTCTTTAAGATTCATTGATTACTCAATGAATGTTTCCAGCAAGTTTACCTGAAAATGCTGGTAGAGTCAGTTAACAAAGGAGACACAGGGCAGAGAAACAGCTGAGTTGCTCACTATCAGGGAGAACTGGACCTAGCCCGGGGTCAGAATCACTTCCAAACTATACAAATTCTGATCATTTTCCTTGGTTCCAAAAATACTCTCCATACTTTTTTCACTTTTTTAAATGATAATTTCACTTTTATTCTCTTTATATTTAGCTTCAACTTTCGTTTAACTGGTCATGAACTAAAGGAAAAACAAAAAGATTTCACGTGGTTGATAATACATTCTATATGCTAGAAAAAAACCAAAGGTATATTTATGGTTATGATAGTAAAGGCTAATTCAAAAATTTATTGATTATCCTTTCTGTGCATATTTACATTAAACTGCAATTTGATTCCAGTCCAGCCATACTTAAATTCCAGATACATTATGCTCACATATCAATGAATAGATCAAAAAACTGAACAAAGTTTGATTTTTAATACAAGAAGAGCTTATAAGGTACATAGGCATTGTCAAATGAAAGTATAAACAATTCATAAAGGTGTTAGTGATTCTACTTTGTCTACCTTAATCTTCAGCTCTGGAATTCATGGAGTGAAATTACTAATTGAGATGATCACATATTACCTTAACACGTTGTTCAAGGTGGGGCATCCATTAATTTGCTGTGGCACCAGTGTTCTGTGGTTACACTGCTAAAATGATTTTTGTTTTCCTGAAATAGCATCCCTGTCTATTTCTGGCAAGCCCACTTTTAAAGCAGGGTCCAGTGGCTAATCAGTGTTAATACCTTGTGTAGAGACAATAAAAAAACCTCTGAAATGGGATTGTAGGTAAGGTAAAACTGTTTTACATGTCTAGATGCTGCCTCCTTGATAAGGAAACCAACACTAAGAAGTCATAGAAATGTGCCTCCCTGAGAAGTGTTTCTTGTGTGTGCAAGATTAGGCAATTCTCTATTGATTAATTTCCTCAGTAAAATAAAGTTGCTGACTTTGAAATGCCATAAGCAATATCCTTTTCACTTAATCATTTATTTATTAATTTATTAGGCATTTATTCTGTGCCTACTAAGCGCCAGCCCATATACAGCATTAAATGTTAGGAGTTTATTTCAATCTATAGCTATACCCATGTATCTGAAAGAGACAGAAGACCAGAAGATTCATCTAATATTTGATGCATTTTATCAGGCTTCAGGAGCACAGCGGGGAACCAAGGTCTTTGGTGACTGACTGCATGTATAATGAGCAGGGCAGCAAGGTTAAAAAGACAGCCACACAGCTACAATGAATTCAGCAAACTACATCTCACTAACACATTTGGTTTAAAAAAAATTTTTTTATGAATTCTGAGCTACCTTGAATCAGTACCAGGCTCCTTCTAATTACTAACAATGACAAGTCTGCCCTCTCAGTTGAAGCTGGATGCCCCAGGCATCTTTATAGCAAAACCAACAAATGATTGGAATACTGTGATTTAAACTCAAAACCAAAGCACAGTTGGAGATTTTTTACAAGGCTGCTGTCTTATATCTAGGGTTTGTGAGATCATAGAGGATGCAGAAGGACAACCCAAGGTCAAATCTACATCTCATATACAAAAAATAAACTGGTTCCCTAATCCATTTGCCGTAGCTCACAATCTAGAGAATAATACAGGATGAATAGTAGGGTCTCTTGCACAAAGACCACGCTAGTGACCTCCAGTGCCCTGCTATGAATAATGGCCATTATTAGGGGGAGGCGGTGGCGGCAGCAGCAATATACTACTGTCTGTCCCCTGAGCCAAACTGGGGAAAGTGCAGAGAGAGCAGCCCTGCAGATATATGGTACACTAATTATTTCTGTGATATAATTCTTGGGGGCATCTATTCATTTTAACAGCTAAAATAGTCCTCCAAGAATAAAGAGGCACCTTGCCATCAACCATCTCTGACGTAGTCTTTCTTTGTTGTTGTTTTTTCAAAATTGATAAATCGGTATCCATCCTGGTCCTACAGGATCAGAAAAAAGGATTCACCAATATGCAGCTTCTTGGAGGAGGTTCCCTTCCACTCTGGGTGATAACACATATGGCAGGCTATGACTCCGTGTGATGGTCTGGGAATCACTGCAGCCCAGCATTTTTCAGCTGTTCATTATTCTTTATATTTAACCCTGAGGGACTCTCTTTAACAAGTTCATGGGGTGACCACAATCAAAGGGCCAGAGGTTTATTCTCTTGCATGGTATAGTATTTGTAGAGTTGATACAGGTGATGTTTTTTCTGAGGAGGCAAGGGTGGGACAAGAGAAAGTAGAATATGTTTTGGTTTTGTGTTTTTTATTCCACACTGAGCACTTGGAAGGTAAAATATCATTGTAATTATTCTCTCTCTTTTTTAAATCCACGGAGTCAAAAATATTATAGTATACCTGCACTGAATTCCATCTGCTTGGCATTCAAACATTTATAATAACATGACTAAAATAAAATATCAACATGACTTAACTATATTGATTATATATTTAATCAATATAAATGAATGATACTTTGTGACGTGCTCTGCTCTGTCAACTACGTAGTCATGTTGACAGTCACAAGAAATATTAGAGGGTGGATACTCAGCTACTTTAGTAATTAATGTGGCTCGAACAGCTCTGATGTGTGTCCATTCTTTTTTCTGCCTCACCACGGGACTTTAGTGTAGATTTTTTTCAAGGCTGTGACATTCAGTCCTAACGGCAATGCCTGCTCACAGGTGAGCAGTTGGTAGGAATGCTAACAAAGTAGAAATAGCAAAACTATGGGTTTTCTCTGCATTGTGAAAGAAGGCTTTTAGCTTATCCTACATGAATCTCTTTACACAGTCTGCACTATCATTCCAACCCAGGCTTCAATTATTTATCTAAAATATTGGCATTTCAAGTTATATTTTACAAAACCCAGGACTTCACAAGGCCTCTACTTGGAAGTCTGGATAGCATATCGAGAACACAGTAGATTTATATCTATTATACCAATTCTAAAGTCTGGCTCCTGTCATCAAACAACAATTCAGATTCCGGACCAGAAAAAAAAAATGGAGAAGGCTTCCAAAGCCTAAAATGATTTAAGAATGACAATAAATGTAATAGAGAAGTATCTCTATATGATTTAAGAAAAACTTGACCTTGAAAGGAACTGCAAAATAGAAATTTGTCTTTAGAATATTCCCCACCTGCACATACATACTTCCCTTGCTATGCATACTCCAATGTCAACCACTCAGTTTGCATTTAAAAGTGAGTGACATCAGCTATAAAGATGGGGATGGGGCAGGTGTTCAGGCAAATATGTCTACTCTGCAAAGCTTAAACTGTAGCATGCAATAACAACATGCCTCATGAATACTCCGTGACATCCAGCTCATTGGCATCCAGCTACTACTAGGACTCCTGTCTCACGGGAAACTTATCTCACATGTGCACATGCTCTCAGGATGCTGAGGTATGCTGTTAACATGTGCCTAAATTGTGACTTCATTACATTAAGTTAGTCAATAAAAACAGATGATGATTTGTGACGCGCTCTGCTAGGTATTGCAGAAGATTCAGAAAAACAAATTTCATGGTCCCTGTGGTTGAGTATTTTCTATTTGAGGAATTAAATGCATGCAAAATGGTAAATAAAATAAAGGTCAAATATGGTCTATATCACAATGCAAAAGATGCCACACAGGTATATATAATAAACTGGTACCAAGCAATGGCTTTCATTTCAGATGTTATAGGATTCATGTCTCTCTCTTGGCTGGGAGGTGTGCCACTAGCAATAATTTATAAATAGTAAAGTATTTGAGATTGTGGATTATTTCTATTTTACCAATTATAATGATTCAAGGTAATCTTTATAAGGATGCCACTCTGTTTACTTATTTTCTCATGTGATGACTTACGGAGGAGGGAAAGAGAAAGCCCCAGGTGTTCACATAAACTTGGCCACCATTCTTACTGCTGTGTTTGAAATTGCACCACCTCCGCCTACTACTCTCTAGCCATTGCTTTGTTTTTTCCAATGGCATTTACATCTTTCTAACATCAACATAATTTCCTTATTTATTAAGTTTATTTCTAATTGCCTTTTTCCATCTGCTAAAATGGAAGCACCAAAAAGCCAGGAACTTTATTTATATTGTTTAGTAATGTATCTCAAGCCCCTAGAAGAGCATGTGGCACATAGTAAACATTCAGTAAGTGGGTGCTGTTATTATTGTTGATGCTGCACACACAGAGAAATGTTTACTGGTATGAAAGTGTCCGGGATCTTTTTCTACACATTAAAAAGATGGAGAACCACTAGTACAGGCAATAGAGCTATAAACTCACAGTACTGCAGAAATACTTTGTTCTACCAAAATGGTTGAATTTGAAATGAGCCACGCACTTCCTAAGAGCAGTCTAATATACAAAGTTTAATTTTAACATAATTGAAAATATATATTCCTCACTTATTCTCTGTCACACCCTGATATGATCACATTCTGAAATGGTCTCATTTATTCATTGTCTGTCTGTCTTTCCCATGAAATATGGGCTTCAGGACGGTAGGTAGCTTCTCTGCCTCATTCACTGCTCTGTCCCCATCCTCACAGTAGGCCCTCCTGCAATGCAGGCACACCCCCTTCCTTGTGGCAATGCTTTCTCCTCCAGTTTTCACATCTAACAACCTCCAAAATATGTGGAAGCAACGTTATTATGTTTCTAATAGTTCAGCAGATTTTAACTTTAAAAAAAAATGAGATTCATAAAATAGGACAGTTATCTTTGTTTTTTCCTATTTCTGCTTTTCTTTTAAAAGGCTTATTGAGGCACTATCATCAAAGTATTCATTGACTAAAATCAGTGTGATGTCCCAACATCTAAGGGTAAAAACAAGGACAGAAAACAGGTGGAAAAAAAAGAATGGCAGTTGATGGGAATGCAGCCTAGACTGAAATACAGATGTGCTGAGGGTGGGTGTGTGGAGAGACTGCACCAAAAAGAGAACTAATGATTGACAAATTCTGAGCACCAGAAGAATCACAAGTGAAAGGTGGAAAGCAGGTCTTGTTGACATGTGAAGAGTAGGAAGAAAGGAGCTGAGCTGAACATATTTTTTAATGAAATGTTAAGTAGATCACCAACAGAGGTGGATAATGACTGTGATGAAGAGTTGGCCAGGGTGTGAAAGAAAAAAGAGAAAGAAAAATTAAGTGACGCTTGGTAGATCACAGGAGGATGTAAAACCAGAGAGAACCTCTGGAAAGAACGGTCAAACCCTTGTAATACTCCAGTGCCTTTTAGTAATCGAGTTGGGCAGCTCATTAAAATTATGTGTGAAAGGAAAGGTACATTAGAAAAAAAGGCCAGGAAGCCAAGAAATAACTAGAGCAATATAATTACTATTTCTATAGTTGGAAAAAATCAGAAATAATACAAAGCGTTCAAGGAGACACATTTAGGAAATGTCCCCTGGAAAACAGTGAATGGATCCTAGGGAAATAACAGGAGGAATAAAACTGGCCACAGGAGGGATGAGTCATGCCAAGAAAGAGGAATCTTTAAAACCGGATGTGTCTGTATAAAGTAGCTCAGCTACCAGTGAGGGAATTTAAGAAGATATTGAAGAGCAATATGAATAATTGGGAGGATAAGATTTTTAGCTCCTCTCTGCGTATGGACAGACTAAATTTAGAATTATCATATATATATATATATATATATATATATATATATATATATATATATATATATATCTCAAAACGAGGGAGCTGCTTGCGTCTGGCAAAGGCCTCCAGTGTTTTCTAAATAAAGGTGATAAGTTGGGCTGCAATATATGAAACGGTAACATTAGTTCTCTGGATACACATGGAAGGGATTGGAATTAACATGTACATAGTGCCTATTTTGTGCTGGATACTATGCTTGATATTTCAACATACATGAGCATATTTGCTTCTCACAACAAAGCTGTCACATGAAAGTCATTATCACAGCTTTTAGTTCAAGGAAACTGAGATCACATAGCTCTTAAATAGTGGAGCCCAGGATTTAAATCTAAGATTGGATGACTCCAAAGCCAGAAACCACCAAGATGCTTCCTATATTAAAGGAAGTTGATGATAAAATATCAGAATATTAAAGAGAAAAATCACTAAAGCAGATGAATGTTGTGTTTGACATGCATATTCACACTCAGATTCAGAGGGCAAACTTGGATCATTTGATTTATCCTCCTTAGGCTTCAGCATTGCTAAGGTCTGCTACTTTGTGAGACCAACACCTATTTATAACAAAATAATCTTGTTTAATCAATGGTACAACGTGAGTGAAAAACAATCTTTGGCTCCCCTTACCATTTTTTACTAGGCATGACAAGATTCCTCAAACTTTCCTCTTGGGGCTGGAGTAAGGGTGGGTGAGCCCCAGGATTTAGCCATGCATTCATTCATTTTCTTATTAGCAACCATTTATTGAGTGCTTAATATATATATGAACCAGGCCCTTGGTTTAAATAAGTAAAATGATACAGTCCTCTCCATACAGAATGTACAATCTATTACTTCATAAAAACCAATAAATGGATAACTATAGGTGAGTGCAGTAGATACTATAAAGGTAAAACCAAGGTCTTACGGGAACACATTAAAGTGATACCTCATTTTGACATAGTACTTCAGGGAAAGTACTATGACACAGTACTTCTACATCAAGAGGAAGAAGAGAAGAGAGCTATAAGCTTTCTGAGCAGAAGGAAGAGCCTTCTCAAACTGATTTAAAAAAAAAAAACAGAGGGAAGAAAAGGGCACTCACCAAATGACTCACAGTTCTTGGACAATGACCACACATCAGGCCAATAAAGTAGGATAAATTTGTTTTTCTTTGGTCCCCATGCAACGGCTTGGCCATTCTATGACTAGGGCTGCCCTTGGTCAACATATGCCCCAAGCTGCCTCTGGCCATCAGAGCCTTTTGCTATGATCTTCTCTGTGTATCCTCTGGCATTCTCAAGACCATTTCAGTGAAATTGAAGTTTACATATAAAAACAGACTGCATAGAGAAAATCGCCTGCTGTCAGAATTAGTCTGGAAAATCACTTAGAATGTCTCTATTTTAGATATCTCAAGGTTTAATACAGTCAGTTTTTTCACCAGTAGTGGAAAAGATAACTTATTTATATTCAAGACAGATAATTGGCTTATAAGATTCAGGCCAACCATATTGTGGGGTGAACAGATCCCCTTCCTTCAAAGATATTACATTCTGAGAAGTGTCTACAGCAAATGAGGTGTCTACATGACAAGAGGCTGAGAGAATGGCAGATACAAGTTCCTTTTGGCATACTTACTCTTTATTATTGTAAATTTTTGGCTGAATGGTGAATACATGGCTCCTGCCTGGAAGCAAGCAGGATGCTCCCTTGTCTACCTGGGGCTCAAATGCACTATACAAGGTTAAACTACAAGTGACCCAGATGGAGGGAAGATCTAGAGAAAATAAATAGCATTACCTTGACATTAAAAGGGAAATTTCTCTGGGTCTGTAAGAACTGTCAGTGTCATCAAGTCACCTAATCTAGGCAGCTATGACACAGACAGAAAATCACCCCAACTCACACTTGCCATTAGTATACTGGCCAGTTTACCCTGCCTCTCTGCTTTCAGAATCGGAATGTGTTCAACATCACATGACTTTTACTCCAGCACCACGATTATAAGGAATATTTGACAACAGACCTTCGAGCATTTAGAACGTATCTATTGTGTGCTGATTGTGACATGTTTGGGAAGTGGGAGTAAATATTAATGAAACACATTTCCTTTATCCTCCAGTCTAGTGGAAGAGCAAGCAATACACAAGAAATTAGAACACCATCAGTGCAAGTATAGGGCTCTACAGGAACACAAAGGGATGGGTCTTACCTTGAGCCAGGCTCAGAAGAGGGAGGCAATTCTTTCAAAATGCAGGGAGCTGCATGAGTCTGTAGCATGAATAGCAGTTTTTGTTTGACAAGTGTTGATGATGAAGTGAATAGAAGATGCCTGTGTGCCCTGAATACATACTATATTTTCAGGAAAAATAAAATGTAGGTATGATCCACAAAGAAGAGTCTGCACCTCTGATGAGAATCTACAGAGCAGCTGAAAGCTCAATCCTGCCTGAAAGAAAAAGAAAACAGAAAAATTGACAGCCCTCAATGGCATCTCAATCCCTTGCTGGAGTAACGTTTGTGTGAAATATCAAATACTTTGAAAACCTTATAGGAAATAGTATGCTAAATGTGTCTGCAAATCACTGGCAATATCACAAGCATACATTTACATGCAACTTTTAAACAAGATCTTCCAAACACTCATGGACACGTTTGGACTACTGACAACACAGCATCAGCAAAAGGTTGAGCAGCAAGCACCCTTGGTTCAGTTAAGTAACTAGTCATTGATCAGTAATTTTGTCACTGAGGCACACGTTATTCAGACGAAAACAAAAACAGCACTGGAATTATTGGGAATTTTCAATAATCAAAGAAAATATTAAAAGCAGCATATTTTTCAGTCCACACAAAAACATCTCTTGGCCACCAAAGCATATAAATGGGGTATAATACCCAGGAAAACAGGGCTGAGAATATAGATTTTCTCCATAGTTCCTTTTGTTAGGTTTAATTGTATTTAGTAACTCAGTGTATCATTCATTAGATGTACTACTAGTTGGACTATCTTTTTTTTTAAGCTTCTTGCTTGCTAATTGTGATCCATGCCGAATTTCTTGGAAGTGATTTTTTAATTTTAGATTCAGGGGATCCGTGTGTAGGTTTGTTACATGGATACGTTGCATAATGGTGAGGTTTGGGTTTCCAGTATCGGATTACTGTTTTCACTTCAATACCATCATCATCAAGAAGGCAAATGTGTGTGTCAAGTCCTAGTAAACAATTATTTCTATCCCCAATATTAGAAGCACAAAAAGAGGAAAGAAATAGTGCAAAGAAATAGACACAAATGGTAGTAATTTCATTTTCTATACTTCACATTATTGAATCATTTCAGAAGATGTGCCTCCATAAAACCCTTATCAGAATCATATGCCCGCCTGCGGCGAAAATACCGATCCATATTCAAACTTCCTATAGTCACATCCAACTTGAAAAATATTCAATGTGCAGTTGTCCTTATCATTTTACCAAGTCATTTAAAGACAAAACACTTGTCAGGTGCTGCCCCAAATGATACTGTTTAAACACCCACTAGCAACATCCATTAATATATTTTTTGCCTTACAGATTTCTAAATGTTTGTTTCAAAATAGTAGGGGAGAATAAGTACTCCCATTGTATTCAGTAGAAAGTTTTATTCAATGGGAAGCAATAAAATATAATGAAACAAAGCACCTATGATTCAGAATGAGAAAGACCTGCTTTTGAATCTTGGCTTTGTCATTTACTAGTTGTATGACCTTGGGAAAATTGTTTAACATCTCTGAACCCCAGCTCCCTGAGCTCTAAAACAGAGGTATTAGTAGCTACCTAATTAGGTAGTTGTATTAATAAAGACATCACATGTAAAACATACTGTACTGCTTGGCTCACTTCAGAGACTCAGTAATAGCTACTATCATGATTTCTTGTTATTAATACTAAAACGGCTTTTATTGACTTCTGATTTCATTGTTAGTGCTTTTCTAAATGTGCCCTTCAGGAGAAAGATCACGGGTTCTGGACTAGTAAAACCTGTGTTTGAATACTGAATGTTCTGTGGAATGCAGGAAAGGCCACTTAACCTCTGAACCAGAGCTTCTTCCAATGAAAAATTTGAGTATTAATGCCTACCTTGCCAGATTATTACAAAGATTGAATGAAGTCATCTTCAGGACACAGAGTAGACATTCAGTGACTAGTAACTTCTAGTATTAATATTATTGCAATAACAGTAATTGAAAAACAAGGAATCATCTGATTTATACATCTTGAAGTAAAATAATACCATCTTTTCAGGGATGGAAAACAGGGTTGTCTCCAGCTGCCAACCACGCTGGTTAGTGATGCCATAGCACGTTCTATGAGAAGGACTACAGTATTTACTGAAGCCACGTATGCATGCAATGTTGATGAATACAGAAATTAGGATGCCCAATACGTAACAATTATTATATTTAAATATCCTGAGATATCTGCACAAAGCCACTTGCAAATGCAAAATAGTCTACAAATACTATTTATTTTACAAACTGGGAGTATAAAGCAACTGTCTTATTTTCATGAGTAAGGCATTGGAAGAAACAGTATTACACGTGGGGAAGCAAGAAAAAAAAAAAAAGGCCAATCCCTTCACCCTATTTTTCCACAAAGCAGTTCTTTGGCAAAGCATTGTCCCAATTTGTCAGCATCCAAACATTCTAAGTTAACTTGTTTCCATTTATTCAAATCAGTGGTAGTGACTATTACAGACGAAGTGAAGGATAGAGACCTTAAGATAACAAAGGTTTCTCAAAGGTGATTCTAAAATGTCCCTGTATATTACAATTGCTTTAACACAAGATGTATAAAAAATAAGAGGAGCATTCCATTTAAGAACCAATTATTTAGAAGCCAAAGGAACAGGCCGGAGAAAATTTGCTTTAATCAACTGGTTTTATTTCCTAGAACTGAAACATTCTATGGTTGGTTCTCAGATCAAACTTCCGAAACTGCAGTCAACAATTTTTCATCAGAGCCCAAGGGAGAGGGGAAGGGGTGAAAGAGACAATAGATGGAGAAAGGCATAATGACCATTAGGAAGAGGGTGGGAGGAGACACATCTTCCTCTGTTATCAGTGAGCTACATACTAGACCTGTTGATGGGACCAGGTGATGGTACCTGAATGGAAAATGACACTGTGACGAACAGCAAAGCCTGACTACAAGTCATAAAACTTCAAACAGAAAGGGAGCCTTCCAGTTTGTCTCAGCAATGGAACAGCAATGGGAAAGCTAGGGCCAGCGTGGAGGCACACCTAGAGGTAGTTCTTAAAAATTCTTCTTGGAACTTCCTTTTATTAAAAAGATTTTATAAAATATGTGTCTTTTCTTCTACGCCTGAGTGATATATATGACGGTAGGGTGGCCTTGAGGCTGTGGGGAGAGAAAGCGGCAGCCAAGGATCTTCCCAGGGCATCCCATCAGTGGCCCCAGAGATCTAAATGGGACAGATATTTCTCACGGTCCCCAACCAGGATATTGGGCAAAGTTAAGTTTTCAGATCTCACAAACAACTTGGAAGCCCCCAAACGTTTTGATGAAAAACGGCAACTCCCAGAACTTCCTGGGTCAGCAAAAGGATTTGTGGAAGGCGGGGGGCATTCCCCACATGCTGCCCCTTTTCCCTAAATGTCTGAAGCTGGCAGGTATGGCAGGCATGGACAGGAGCTCAGGAAGATGTCGCTCTCCTGCCCGCTAACTACCACAGCTTGAAGACTGCTCATCCCAGGCCCTGCAAGTGCCCTCTGCTCTTTATCTGCCAGGCCTTTCACTCCTACCCATATTCCTAAGCAGAGGTTCATAATGCCTGGGGAAGCAGGAGGGGTGGAGAGGGGTGTCTAGAGGTGAAAACAGCCTGCCTGAACCCCAAGTCGGAAACGGAATCAGGCAACGAGTGGGCGGGGGTGGGGTGGGGTGGGGTGGCGGGTAGAGGGGGGAGAAGAGGGAGCCGGAAGCTGGGATGGTGGCCTCACTTTATCCCAGGGAGGGAACTGAGGCCCTGACTCAGATCACAGAGGCGTGGGGGCACAGAGGTGAGAGTCAGGTGGCCTGCCATCCTGGGGCCCGGCAGGGCAAAGGAGCGCGGGTTGGAGGAGGACGGGCTGAGGAGAGGGAAAGGCAGTCCCAGTTTGCACGCCGTGGTCAGATTCCCCAAGAACGGCCAGGCCGCAGCAGGAACGGGGCAGGGGCTCTTCTGGAAACGCTGGTAACTACAGGCTGTCGCGATCTCCGCCGCCCGGTGCCTCGGCATGCCACTCCTGGGAGGCCTCCTCGTCCGCGACTTCTTCCTCCCGGAGCTCCTCCTCCTCTGGCTGAGGCGGCTCGCAGACCAGGCCCGGCTCGCTAGGGGCGCTGCCGTTCTCCACCGCCACGAGGAACGGACTCTCCTCGTCGACGGCCGTCGCCGCCGCCGCCGCCGCCGCCCTCTCCGCTTCCGCCGCCCTCTCCGCCTCCGCCTCCTCCTCTTGGTCGGGGGCTGCCTCCTTGGGTCGTTTGGGGGCGTCCTCCGGCGGGTCCCCCGCGCTCCTCTTCAGCGGCCCCTTCTCCTCCTCAGTGGGCTTGTCGTCGTCCGGCTTCCCCAATTCGTCGCCGCCGCCACCAGCGTGGGTCGGCTTGTCCTCGTCGCCCTCTGCGGCCTCGGGCTCCGGCCAAGGCCCGTCTCCGCTGCCCTTCTCTGAGGCTAATGGGCAGTCGGAGGCCTGGACCGTGGGGTTGTTCTCGATTTCCCACAGCCCCGCGCTGAAGCCGCGCCTCTTGTTGGGCTTGCCGAACTTCTCCTTGCACTCCTTGTACGGGAACAGGCGTTTGGGACTCAGGAAGGCCGTCTCGTGGGTCCCGAAGAAAAACACCTGGTAGCGGTTGGGCTGGGTCATGTGCTCTATCCTCGCCGGCCAGTGGGCATAGCCCTTTAACTTGGCAAACACCAGGTCCCCGCTCTTGTACATGGGCATGCCGTAGGCCGACATAGCTGGTTCTGCGGACCCCGCCTGGGCCACACCGGAAGTAGACGCCGAAGTCTGCGCGCGCGCAGTAAGGGCGGCTGCTGGGCGGGAGTTGTTGAGCGACCTGTTCGAGGGGACCGGCGCCACCTAATGGGCGGGCAACGCTCGGGGCCCCGAGAAGATCCACTGCGAAGTGTGCATTATCTCCCGAACACTCGAAGCCCGTTGGACCCACCCTCGGACGCCATGATGTCTAGAATGCTGGAGGAAATAGCTGGGATGGCCGGGTGGCGGTTGTGCTTGTGGTGGCCTTGTGCTACTGATCAATCTCTACGGCACCTGGGCCAGATGGTTGCACAGTTTAAATAAACGGTGCCAGAGCGGCCTAGAAAGGGGGCAGTGTGACAAGAAAACACAGTGACACAATTAGTACATATTTCCATGAAACTAGTAACAGCCCAGTGCAAGCATGCAGTGTCCCTGTAGGCCCCGATCTGCTCACTACAGGAAACTGTACACCTGCGTTAGGAGGAGCTAAAGAGATGGCTGTGTCAGTGGTTTCAACCCTTTTCTGATTTCCTCCGGGACTAGCACTGGAGCCTGCAGTGAGGCTCAAGAACTACGTGAAAGTCTATTAAAGGGTTAGAGTCAGCAGTGTGGTTAGGATGTCTTAAGTCCACATTACTGGCTAACAAAAATGTCAAACATTATTATATCTTTAGGGTCACAAAAAGTATATAGGAACACCACCACCACGGCAAACAGACATCTAAATATTTCCTACTTTCTATGGAAATGTTCACCTTGGATGCCAGACATGAAGTTTAAACTTCGTTGGTGATTGTACCGTATTGTGAAAGATGAGGCTACATGGTTGTAACATTGAGATCACGACACATGTTTTCAGTATCTTTCTAGAAGAGATGAAAATTGGGTTCATTATGCATAAGAATTAGGTAGAGATCTACTCATATCGAACATGCTCTTGGCAACTAGAACTTCCTGTGAGCTACACACTAAAAAAGTATAATCTCAGCTGAGAAACTATTTTAAAAAGAATTTTCTTCAGATATGTCTCTTCTAAACATATGAATGAAAGTGTCAGTGCAATTGCAGTTGTTTACACAACTTTCTGCATCTTTTTTGGATCCTCCTTGCTAGCTGTGAGCAAGCACTCTGAAACCTACCCAAATTTATCATACCGGTACTCTTGACTATTATAACTAGACAGATGTTCCTTCCCAGTGTAACCAACACACTAGACGAGAATTAGAGCCCTTAACCCATTTCAGTAAAACTCAAATTTGTTTCCCATTTGCTGGGCTGGAACAGCCATTTTAACTCTGAATGGTTGAGACATGCTCTAGGCAAAAGGAGATATCCTCTCCCTAACAAGGTGAAATGAACATGAAGCCCTTTGATAATTCTAAAATTCTAAACAAGTTCTTTCAGCTCTTATGTCAAGCCATTTTCTTAGAATGCCTATCTGCCCTGCTAATATCTATTATACCTTTATTAAATAAGTAACATCAACAATGCATCAACACTTCGTTTACAAATCAACATCCTGCTACAAAGATGAATATGACAAGTTCCCTCCTCTCAGTTTTACAGGGAAAGTGCTAGAAAACTAGAAATGTTTAGTGGCTGTAGAAGAAAATAGGAAATAATAGGTAGCTATGGAGCCCATAATAGGAAGGAATTTGGAATTTCTGTAAGCAGAGATATTGCTATATGTGGCCATTATTTTTCAGGTAAGTATGCTGTACCAATGCACATATCATGTATGAAGGTTGCTGAAGTAGGAAAAAAATCTAGCTAGATAGCATGTCTAGAAGAGGTATTTAGTTGTACCATCAGCTCAATCTGAAGGCAGGACCGGTTCTAAAAGCCAGCTGCTGAAGCTGAAGGTGGCAAAGGTGCCTCACTAGAAAAAGCCAACATCAATAGTTGGGTGGTTGAACTACAGCAGGTGAACAAGTATGAGGGTGTGAAGGCAGGACTGGGGATCTAAGGGTTAGAGCAATAACCAAAACCTATGGAAAACTGAGATAAAAAGTATAGCAGGAAGCAAAGGCAAAAAGATCTAGTAGAGAAGGATCTACGTCTGCAAACAACAGTACAGATTCTATTAAGCAAAGAAGTGTTGTTCCCCAAGTAGATCTTGTGCCTCCACCCTTGCCCACTAATATAGTGTGATGCTGAAAGGCTGGCACAAAAGATGTTTACCTTTGAGGAGATTAAAATCTCGTTTAAGAGAAAAAGCCCGGATGAGTTCATTACAGAACAATACAAGCTAGCCTTCAGATGCTAAATTGTGTGTTCTTAAATACCCAAAGAATTCCAGGAGAAATCAATGAGAGTGTGGTTATTAGGGGAGGCCTACGGAAGGGGTAGTAGGAGATAGAATAAAAACAATTCTGGCATTTCTCACTTGTTTGCCAGCTTTGTAAGGCCAGGAGTTAATATAATCTTTGTGAACCTCTGCTACATGATTTCAAGATATTTAACTTAATACTCAGAATTTCTTTCAGGATCATTACAAATATTAATGGGATTATGGACATGAAAGCCCAGAAGATGGCTATGAAGGTCTATGATGTGCCAATAAGTGTGAAGTTGACTTTTATTATGGATTAGGCTATTATTAGCATTAGGCTAATTGAGGAAAAAGATATATCCAAAGGAATAGAGAGTCATGAATAAGGGCACCGAAGAAAAGTCCCCACCAGCTGAATTACATATTATATACAGAATTATATATCCAGCACATCTTTTGTATGAAACTGACATAAAAGTTTTTGTTACTTGGAAATATGATCTTGTAAAACAGTGTTCTCTAATTAAATTTATCACCTAATGGTAGTTTATTCTACCATTAGAAAAGGGAAAATGGGAGGAAGGTTGAGAAGAAGCAACCGTTTAAATAGAGTTTCATGGAGACCACTTTCACAGATACATCCTTTCTTCTATTCCTACATTTTCAAGGATGCAATTAAGTGGAGTGATCTTGGCTTCTTTTACCTTTGAAACCAACTTGCTGTTAAAGCTATCGTTTCTCTTGCTCAAAGTGAGGAGAGTAGAGAGGATACATTCATGATGACTTGGTTTGGTTTAGATTTAGCTAGTATATAAACAAAGTACTCATGAGCCACTGCAATGATTAATTTTCAGTAACTAGAACTCCATGAGTATAACTGTTCTAATAGGTAAGGATGTTTTAAAAATCATGTGTACCGCGAACACCTGTTTGTCAAGAGGACCTAATTTCAGTGGCAGCATACCTATCAAAACAAAACCTTAGAGTCCAAAACATATAACACTTCTCATTCCCCTTTTCTGGAAAACTAATGATAGGATTTAAAAGCTGTTTGGCAACAATTATGAAACATGGGCAATAAAACAACGTAATTATACAAGAGAGAGAATAGATATCTAATTGATGTTTTCTTGTTTAGTTACTTTTAAATTCAATTAGTTTGGTGTAAATTATGATTTAAGAGAAATGTGATTGTTTTCTGTGTGCTTTTGTCTTCATTAAAAATATTAACTGCCTCTGGGTTTATGCAATAGAATGTTTATACATGGTTGGTATTTGAGATCAAGGCTTTTCTTTTTAAAATGTTCTAGCAGACATAATTGTACAGGGTAAGTCCTCCCCTCCACCATGGGTAGAAATTCCCCCACTGTTCTTTTTTAAAAAGTCGCAGGATGTCTGCTACCTCTATATTTTGTCACCTCTACATTTCATCCATGTCCACTTAGCCTAGCCTTTAAAGCCTCAGGGATTTCTGCAATACAGGCAACTGCTCAGAGTGGAAATAAATTCAGTATCAATGAGGATGTTCTAGGAGCCAAAGAGTAATTTAAGGGATGTTCCCAAGGAGCTATATCATCATCAATTTTTAAATATTTTTCATTTTTATTTTTAATTTTTGTGGGTACATATTATCATCATCAATTTGAAGTGAATAAAATCTGAACTTGCCTTTGATAATGGACTTTGAGGAGGGAGACATGAGAGTGCAGATTTTCCAGGTGGTATATGTGTGCAATTGGGCCCCCCTTGGCCAACCATGAATGTGATGACTTGGTTTGGTTGGTGTGTAGGAAGGGGGCCTTTGGAGAGATTGGAATTGTTTGCAAAACTTCTGTTTTATTGGCCATGGAAGGAAAATCGGCACTCCAAGATTAAGAAAAGTGGCTGGTAATGAATAATTCTATTTCATTATTCTTATTTGAGGGCTTAAAGATTCTGAAACTTATTCTTTGGGAAAAAATTTAAATAAAGTGTGTTTAAATAATATGAATACTTTGCTAATTTTGTGTGATGATATTTATTCAAGCCTCCTACATGAAAATGTATGAGTTATTTATATAACTAGCAAAGTTTAAACAAATAATAGTTATCAATGCTGGTGAGTATTCAGTAATTGGGGATTAGATGCAGATAACATCTATTTACATAATAATTACCTGATTAGATGGCCATACTCTGTAAGGTTTTTAAAGCAAAATTTAGTGACTTGGAAAATGCTTGCAATTCGAATAAAGAGACTGGATAAAATATATAGCATATGTAATTTATGCGCTTATATGAAATCATGTTCCTTAAATTTAACATGTGGCTAATTCTAGGACCCATTTGAGAGAAAGGCTATTTGAAATAAACAGGACAGTGGGCGTTAAACGTGATGCTTGCGACTATCAAGTGCTCGATTACTATTAGCTCTTAAAATAGCCAGTACCTGCTCTATTTTCTTAGTTTATTTTTTTTCATTACGTAATATATATTTTTGTTGTTACTATTTTTGCTGTTGTTGTTTTCTACAAATTGTTTCTGGTTCAGAATTTAGCTTGTTTCTCTAATTTTATAATAGGCATATACTTTTTTCTTACTTTTTGGAGGGGCTGTGTTGTTGCATTAAAAGCACAGTTTGAAAGACCCAAGATCAACAAAGTCATGTTTACAAGGAAATATGAAACTCAGTTTTGCAATTTCAATTTTGTATTGCTTGCCATTACATTAAGTTGTCATGTAAATGCTTAAAATGATCAAAGCTTTTAGAAAGCCATGCTCAAGTTTTTGAGGATATAACCTCAAAAACCCAATTGTCTCAATTGTCTCTTACTCTTCCAATGGTTTTCTAGCTTTCGAAATAATTACCAAATTATTAAACTTCAGAAATAAGTAATTTATACTATTTCCATTTAAAGAAATCATCAACAGGTGCATGGTAATGAAAAGGTGGGAATTTTTAACTAAAATGTCTAATTTTGAATTACTGAAAATGATATTTTGAAGATAATTTTTACTAATAATTTTTTTCTATTTTATTATTGGAAATCTCTTAAATTTTTAAGTAACTTTGGCTTAAGGGTATAGGCATTGAGTTGCTAGTTATCTATCTTTACCAAAAGTTTATTGAAGGTAAATGGCTTTCTCTTGTCAAACATTGTGAGGGAAAGGCTGTTTGTAGCTTTCAAAATAGTTTAGGATTGTTCTGTAGTAGGTAGCATGTATATTATTTGTTGAAATAAATACTTTAGGAAGTTTAGTACTTTTATATAAATTCAAAAACTCATACGTAATAGACTAGAGACCAAGTAAAAGAAAATCAGAGAAGTAGAAATTTAAAATAACTGTGCTAAATCATCATTGAGCTCAGTGAAATCCTCAACAACCAATGCCTCTCTCTTTTAGAGTTTGTTCATTTTTCAAATGAACCAATGATGAACACACACTTTTAAGTCCCTTAATAAGATTTTCTAAATAACACAAACAGTGACTTTCTGAACAAATATTGTAACCACTTCTCATTTTGGTCACTCTTGATGGTGAAAAAACTTCTTTCTTAGAAAAACTGTAGTATGTTTGATGCTTGTAAAACTGAAATACTGAAATAAAACATTTTGGATATAGTTTTATAGTCTTTGCTGTTCAACAATCAGACATAACCCATACTCTGTTCCTGCTTCTCAAAGTCTAACCTTAATGAGAATATATCATAATGACTAAAATTACAATAGAGCTGATAATTTTTGACTATCATTTATTAAGCATGTATTATATGTTGCAAACTTATACAAGCATTTTATATCTACTTTCCCAATTAATTCTTGAAACCCTTTGCTATATTGCCTTTGCTCCCCCCATTTTTTTTTGCCCTGCCCACTTATTTATTATAAGCATAATTCATTGAGGAAATACAGCCAACCAGAGACGTTGGTTGAGGGAAGAATGAAGAGAGAAGAGTGAAGCAGATACAAAAAACGTAGAACTGTCAGGAGCTGTAAATTACTATAAGGATCACAAAAGAGAGGAGAAAACTGTCAGTCCCTAGAGCAGCTTTCATTTCCAAAGTTTTTTCAGTTACAATTTGAGTTCAGCATATATACATCTTTACATTAAAAACCTTTTGTCTTAAGATGTGTGAGTGAGCCTCTGTGTCTTAGAATAAAAAGTACCAAGTAGAACAATAATGAAACTGACGATATATGATTGGCATAGGATTTATAAAGGCAAAATGATGTTAACCACACATCAAACAATGTTGATGTAGACATGAAATCTCTCCAATGTAAACACTGTAGATAAAATGTCGAATTCATTTAAAAATGATCAGCCTTTCTTTTTCTCCTAGGCTATTTATAACTGTAATCTGTAACCATGTAAGATAATTTTTTTAAGTTCATAAAGTGACATATATTCTGAGATTTTTTTACCAGCCACCATCTGGTTTCATGATAGCTGACCATGCCTTTTTCCCTTTCAGAACAACAAAATCGATAAAAGTTTTTATTGAACAGATAAATAAAAACTGCTTACATATGAAGTTGAACAATTTGATGTAAATAATGAATAATGCTTTGGTCAATTACAATTTTGAAATAGTAAATTTAGTTATTTTATCTTTACTAATTTTAGTTGCCTCCCACATTTTCAACAAAACTGAAAAAAAACTGAAAGAATAAAAGCATATGGCTTTTTAATATTGTGCAAGACTAATTTGGCTTTGTTCAGTTTTCTCATTTTTTCTTCAGTTTGCCTTGTAAGACTGCTATAAATTGACAAGAAATTTTTGGCTACGTGTGTAGAAAACAGCAAAAATTGAATGAAATCTAGAATATAATACATTCTTTAGGACACCACTTCAGGTTATACATTAACATGTGAGTGCTTATGTGCTTGATAGAGACTTAAGCGCTATGGGAGAGACATCATGAGTATAGAATATTTTAACCAATCATCATACCAAGTGGTCTGTGTTATGTCAATTCTTTATTTTTTAAAAACATTATTGATGATCTGCTATGTGATCTATTTTCTAATTCATTCATATCATTTTCAAATTTATATAATCAATAAAAATCAAAAAGCTTATTATTTTGTTACATACTTCTGTATGCCTGCTGATTTTTAATCTGCTTTATCTATTTCTGATATAAATGTTAAGATTTTAGCAAAATCCATAATATATGTGGATTTTTCAATTTCCTTTGAATCAGGTTTGTTTCTGTTTTATGCATTTCAAGGCTATATTGCTAAGTAAATACATAGTTTTATTATTGTATTCTACTCCCTTTAGATTCTTCATTTTATTAGAATGAAATAATTGTCTCAGCAAATGTTTTTGCCTTAAATTCTACCTTGTCTGGTATTAATGTGCTTTAGCAGCTTTTTGTGATTAGTATTTGAGTGTTATGGATCCTTAATTTTAACTTTCTAATGTCATTTTTAAAAGTTACATTTCTGAAACCAATACATAGGAAGATTGCTTTCAGTATAATCTCTTATCAGGAGAATTTAGTCTTTTTAATAACATTTTGTGATAAATTCAATGTCTACCATCTCATTTTTTGTTTTGGTTCACCATAACTTTGTAGGATTTTTTTTCTCCCTGCTTTCCTATCTTCTTGTGTATTGATCAAATTTCTTTCATCATCATTACCATTGTTACATTATTATTATTTGTGCTTTTCCTTTATTAGTTTGAAGGGTATAACTTTCTTCCTTTAGCAATTATATTCTTTAACATACACACTTAACTATAAATTTTTCTAGCTAACTCTAAAGACTTTAGCTTTTATAAAATAATCCCAACACCACACTCTTTGTCTAAAATTTTATTTTTTCTCTTTTATATTATATAACATTTATTTTTTATAATTAGTTTATTAAATTTATTCACAATTTTATCATTAATTTATTATTATGTCTTACATATCCTTCCTTTATTTTTGATGAAGGAAATATATCAGTAACTGTCTTCCTGAAATTATGGATGGCTGGGCGTGGTGGCTGACGCCTGTAATTGCAGCACTTTGGGAGGCTGAGGTGGGCGGATCACCTGAGGTTGGGGTTCAAGACCAGCCTGGCCAACATGGTGAAACCCTGTCTCTACTAAAAATACAAAAAGTAGCCAGGCATGGTGGCGCATGCCTGTAATCCCAGCTACTCCGGAGGCTGAGGCAGGAGAATTGCCTGAATCCAGGAAGTGGAGGTTGCAGTGAGCTGAGATTGTGCCACTGCATGCTAGCCTGGGTGACAAAGCAAGATTCCACCTCAAAAAAGAAAGACAAAAGAAATTATGGAGTAGTGGAATTCACTTAGCCTTATGTGGCTAAAAATGTATTTATTCTAACTTCACTCTTAAATAATATATTAGCTGAGTATATAACACATATTCAAAATGTATTGTTTTAAGCATGTGAAGGAATTATTCCACTGTCTTCTAGCATCCTTTGTTGCTGCTGAGAAGTCTATCCTCAGTGCAACAGTTATTCCTTTTCTGGTATTATGTCTTTCAGTTTTCCAACTATCAAGCTTTTCTTTATTCTTAACATACTGCAGTATATCTAGATATTTACTCAATTGTCTCCTTTTAGAACACTTATATATGTATATTAAATTATCTCAATCTATAATTCATGTTTTAACCCTCTCTATATACTGCTATATATAGTAGAATTTCTCAAAACTGTATTCCTATTTATTTATTCTTTCTGTCTTAGAGGTTGTCCCATTTATTATTTCAATAACAATACTTTTCACTTTAAGAATTTCTATTTTTATGTTTACCTTTTATTATTTCATTTAATCTGCTTTAGTTCATAATTTCTTGTTCCTTTTATGGATTTATTCATTTTTTACCCTTTCAGATTTTCTGAACATATTTATTTTAAAACTACTATTGATATTTTTCTCTTCTTTTAATTTAATCTATCATTTCATTTCCTGCTGCCAACTGATAGCTTGGCTCAAGGTTCCCTGGCTGCAAGATTGTCTGCTTCTTTGTACCTCTATAAAAGGTAGCACTGTAAACGTGGTACCACCCAAAATTAGTAAATCAGGGCTTTTTTCAGCCTCCTCTTCAGTGTCAGAAAGTTCCACACTGGCCCAACATGAGACCAGCAGTGAGGCCAACTCTAGTTCCCCTCTGCATGTGAGGGACCTTATTTCTTTCTATCTTATAGAATCCAGAATACTTTGTCATCTCTGCTTGATTCCAAGCTCTGATACCAACAGACCTTGCAGTATTAGTTTCTCTTAACATTTTGTATTTCATTCCATTCTAGCTTATCAATACGTTACTATTTCTAAGTTATTTAATTGTATCTTTTATATTTCATCTGCTTTTGCTATGTGTTGGATCAGAAAGAGAATGTTGCAAAGCATGAATTTACAACATCTTAACTAGGCAGCAGGTAGTTATAAAATGTCATGCATACCCCTTTCCTTGTCAGTTTGCAAGTTGAGGACAAAGATTCTATGCATAAAATAATTAGAGAAAACAAAACAGATTCTCGGAAACACAAAAACAGGCAGGTATTTACACAAAAATAATCAGGGAGACTTTAGATGTGTCAGCAATTGATATTTTTCTTAAAGAATGTATAAGATTGAAGACAATGACTTTATGCATTTTATTAATAATAATTAATCTGCTATCTTCTTTACAGATTCACTTTATTGTGTGCCTTGAAGATGTAGTGTATGTACATATCATCAGTGGTTTTTGAGGGCTACAATGACAGTATGTCAATCATTTGGGTAGCTGTAACAAAATACCATAATCTGGGTGTCTTACAAACAATAAAAATGTACTCCTCACCGTTCTGAAGGCTGGGAAGTCCAAGATTGAGGCACTAGCAGATTTTGGTGTCTGGTGAGAGCTCACTCCATAGACTTCTGTCTTCCCACTGTGTCTGCACATTTTCACATGGCAAGGGAGCCCATGGGGGACCTTTTTATAAGGGTAATAATCCCATTTACCTACCAAACCCCCACCTCCAAATAACATCTCCCCAATGTCCCTACCTCCAAATGTCATCGTATTGGGGATTAGATTTCAACATATGGATTTAAGAGGGCATAAACATTCGGTCCATGGTATGCTAAATTATAGTGCTCCTAGTGCATAATTAAGTGGCAATATTGAGAGAAAATAATCAAATGAGACTGCTCCTTCCTAGCAATCTTAAGTAAATGTTTGTCTGAGGAATCACCCAAATTTGAAGCTAGTGCAAAAGGTGAAAATGTATGTATGTCTGTGTCCTCTAAGAAATATTAAGACTGCAAGTTGTGTATATGGAATTTAAAGGAATATTCTTTGAGGAAAGTATTAGTAACAACTAATTGGATCAGTATTGACTCATTACCCACAGATCTTCAGTATCTAATCTAAGTGTATTTTACCTTCCCTCTGTGCCTGAGTTTGCAGCTTTAAGCTACTTCATAAACTTTTCATAGCTTTGGAAAAGTCTAAAAATGATTGCACTGCATAATGTTCTAACATATCTCTGATTCCTGCTACTCAGGGCACTTCCTAGGGGTTCATCATACATGCCAAGAGCCAGCAAGTGAATAGTGACAAAAGGCAAGACATTCATAACTAGGCCCACAGTTTACTTAATGCCTCTGTTTAAGTTTCTCTGACTCACACTGCACCTTAGTCCATTCAGCCATTTTACAGAAATAACAGTGGAGATAATTGCGCCTGTGCTTTATTAGTTCTAATGTTTAGCTTGACTCAGACTAATAAAATCTCAAACTGAAGAAAAACATTATAGCTCTTCTACTGCATGGACAAGAGCAACTGCAGGCTTCTGACACAGGTTTTGGCAGGGTCTGCAAATGGATGACTGAATAGCTTCAAAGTAGGTGATGGAAATCAGGAGACAGGATTAACCCACAAGACATGTCTGTTTTAAGTCAGCTTGACTTCTATTTATTGCAACTCTGACATTGGAATAAACCTGTTAAATATATTTTGAAAATGCAACTAAGTGTAAAACAGGATACCTCTCTTTAAAGCTCTTTTAATTGAATGCACCTGGTGCTTCTCTCTATCAATTTATGTTAATGCCACACACATGGGCAAACAGGACCTAATTACAAATTAAGCAATAAAGCTGTTTGTAAGAGCAAGTGTTCTCTGGGTCAAGTCCATGAATTACGTGTGTGTGTGTGTTTGTGTATGCAAGAGAGAGAGAGTATACAAGTGTAAATGTAAATATATATACACTATATTTCTTGACCTTTGTTATAATTGGCAACTTATTTTATTGAACACTAGTTTTACAGAGACACCTTCTGTGCAGTGACTTGATTTTCCTAAATAATCAGAGGAATTCCCTAATTACCTAAAGTTCTGGGTCATTCTAATATTAAGATTATTTAAAGTCCATGAAAAATAACTCTGTTTCTTGAGTGATCATTGACTGAGTCCTCTCATTCCAGATCTGGCTGCTGTAGATTTGAAACATTGCTCAGAGTTCTGACTCTGCCCACCTCACCCCACCCATTCAGCCTTTCTCCAGGTAGCCATGTAGAAGCTGGAGCTCAGGAAGCAAGCCGATGGCCAACTTTATGTCCCTGCACTTGACACTATCATTGTGGAAATTAAAGCAGCTGAAAAGCTGGCTTTTCACTGCTCACTATCCACTATTGATGCAGTAGTGCTAACAAGAGAGACCTGAGACTGTTTACGATTTGCTTCAATTTATGGAACTTTGCTCCTGGTACCTAAACTGTGGTAGAATGTAGGTTAATTTTTGTTGAGTTCAGTTACATATAAATTTATTGAGCACCTATAGGCACAGGAACGACAATGATTAATTAAATAAAATCCCTGTCTTCAATGAGCTTACAGCTAAAAATATTCTTATCTAATCCTTCCTTTTGATTCTCACTGCCATGGGCACTGCCATGGTCTCAGATCAACCCTGGACTCAACCAACAGTAGACAACAGTTCCAAAGTGGATGCCAAATTTCAGTTCATCGCGTGTGTGTGTTGCAGTAGTGGGTGGCGGGGGCAGGGGGATGGGGTGTGGAAGCATGAGAGGGAAACAGACTGAAGGTGAGGAGAATTTTAGCCCTCGGTTGATTGCGTCATTATTATTGGGCTGTACAAGTGGCAGCATCCACACTTGGTCCTAACTCCCATCTGCTTCTCTCTGATTGATACACCATTACAATGTACTATGCTACAGCTTCCTTGTAAAATGTGCAGTATTGTCTTGTCTGTCTTCATGCTTTCCTTTATTTAAAGGTAGTGTACTATCAATCTCATTTCATCTCGTTTTCACTAAATACTACATCCTTATGATATATCTGAGTATATAGGTATAGTGTGTTTCCAGCTGATACATGTATCACTACACACGCAATGTTTTACTTAATTCCTCTAGTGACAAACACTTGGATCGCCTCCAATTCTCTACTAACGCACACATGCAGGCACACACAAGTGCTCTAATGGAAATTCTTCTTGTTTACCTCCTTTGTGAAAATTTCTTTGGGATACGAAAACTACTTGAGGTACTATGAGTAGAGAGTGATTTAATGCAGAAATTAGGTGTTTAAACATCATAAAAAGGGCTAGAGGAAGGACAACCATCTAGTGAATTCCTCCACTAGATTTCAGGGAATCTAGGAGCCTGAGGAGCTGCAGCTCTTTCCAGACCTGCGGTGGGAGATTTTCAGTGAGACATTCAAAGGCCACTGTGAAGTCTCAATCCAGACCCAAAAACTGATTAGCCCTTATAATCATACAGGTCTCAGCAGCCTGCCAGATCATGGGCAAATGTCTCTTGCTGTTGAATCTAATCCAGAGTTTGGCTGGCAAGGACTTCCTGAAGCAGGTCCAAGTTTCCAGCCCTTGCAAGACAGGGGAAGGATTTAGAATGCTCTAAATCCTCCTCTAAATCCAGAGCCCACCTAGGTCAACTTGGTCCATGGCAAATGTCCAGGCATCTGCTGGAGTAGAGGAAGGATGGTCACTGGACTCATAATTCTAGACAGATCATCTGGGGGTCGAAAGGCTTTTTTATTTCAGCCTTTCATCTTTCTTCCTGGTTACAGCCCTGACTCCCACCTTCAGCTACAGGAGCTGCATCTAATCCCTGAGCATGCCTGGGATTCTGCTGCAATACCAGCTTTCTTCTGGGCCTCCTTTCCCCCCTTGCATCCCTTCTGCAGGCTTAGCTGGCTTTTCTGTTCCATAAATCAGCTAGTACATGTCTATTTCCCCATGCTTCTAATCTCTATTTAGTGTTCTGATGTCTCCTTTAGTTCTATTTTTCCTTATGTATTTGTGCTTCTTTTATCTTTTTAAAGGTCATTTTAATGTACGTTAAGGAGAGAACAGAGATTAACATTAAGTTCAACTTTTGCCATGTTGGGAGGTAATCAGTAAATATGCTAAATGAGAATCCCTGGATGAGAATCCTCTTATATTTAAAATAATAAACTTGAGATAAAAATGTATAAATACCTAACTTTGTCTAGTTATATATTCATCCATCCATATTCTTTTAAAAAAAATATAGAGACATGAAGTCCTCGCCCATGCCTATGTCCTGAATGGTATTGCCTAGATTTTCTTCTAGGGTTTTTATGGTTTTAGGTCTAACATGTAAGTCTTTAATCCATCTTGAATTAATTTTTGTATAAGTTGTAAGGAAGGGATCCAGTTTCAGCTTTCTACATATGGCTAGCCAGTTTTCCCAGCACCATTTATTAAATAGGGAATCCTTTCCCTATTGCTTGTTTTTGTCAGGTTTGTCAAAGATCAGATAGTTGTAGATATGTGGCATTATTTCTGAGGGCTCTGTTCTGTTCCATTGGTCTATATCTCTGTTTTGGTACGAGTACCATGCTGTTTTGGTTACTGTAGCAATGGCAACAAAAGCCAAAATTGACAAATGGGAACTAATTAAACTAAAGAGCTTCTGCACAGCAAAAGAAACTACCATCAGAGTGAACAGGCAACCTACAGAATGGGAGAAAATTTTTGCAATCTACTCATCTGACAAAGTGCTAATATCCAGAATCTACAACGAACTCAAACAAATTTACAAGAAAAAAACAAACAACCCCATCAAAAAGTGGGCAAAGGATATGAACAGACACTTCTCAAAAGAAGACACTTATGCAGTCAAAAAACACATGGAAAAATGCTCATCATCACTGGCCATCAGAGAAATGCAAATCAAAACCACGATGAGATACCATCTCACACCAGTTAGAATGGCGATCATTAAAAAGTCAGGAAACAACAGGTGCTGGAGAGGATGTGGAGAAATAGGAACACTTTTACACTGTTGGTGGGACTGTAAACTAGTTCAACCATTGTGGAAGTCAGTGTAGTGATTCCTCAGGGATCTAGAACTAGAAATACCATTTGACCCAGCCATCCCATTACTGGGTATATACCCAAAGGATTATAAATCATGCTGCTATAAAGACACATGCACACATATGTTTATAGCGGCACTATTCACAATAGCAAAGACTTGGAACCAACCTAAATGTCCAACAACAATAGACTGGATTAAGAAAATGTGGCACATATACACCATGGAATACTATGCAGCCATAAAAAATGATGAGATCATGTCCTTTGTAGGGAGATGGATGAAACTGGAAACCATCATTCTCAGCAAACTATCGCAAGGACAAAAAACCAAACACCACATGTTCTCACTCATAGGTGGGAATTGAACGATGAGAACACATGGACACAGGAAGGGGAACATCACACACTGGGGACTGTTGTGGGGTGGAGGACGCGGGGAGGGACAGCATTAGGAGATATACCTAATGCTAAATGACGAGTTAATGGGTGCAGCACACCAACATGGCACATGTATACATATGTAACAAACCTGCACGTTGTGCACATGTACCCTAAAACTTAAAGTATAATAATAATAGAATTAAAAAAATATATAGAGACAAGGTCTTACTCTGTCACCCAGGCTGGAGTGCTGTGGCACAACCATAGCTTACTGCAGACTTGACCTACTGGCTCCAGCAATCCTCCTGTCTCAGCCTCCCATGTAGCTGAGACTACATGCACATGACACCATGTCCTGCTTTTTTTTTTTTTTTTTTTTTTTTTTTTTTTTACCTTTTGTAGCAACCTGGTCTCATTATGTTGTCCAGGTTGGTCTGGAACTCCTGATCTCAAGCGATCCTCTCTCCTCGGGTTCCCAAACTGCTAGGATTACAGGCAGGAGCTACTGTGCCTGATCTATATTTTATTTTTATGTGTTCAGCCATTATATTATGACTTTGGATGATGATTATCCTTTAATATACCAGAATGTTGATGCTATTTTCAACCTCTGTGAGTAAACTATATTGAAATTTGCTCCAACAGCTGAGAATAGTCATCTTCAAGGGTGTACATTGTTTATGAAGAAATAAGCAATGGAGTGAGTTTCTCATTTATTTGGGTCATGTTATTTAAATGTATTAAAAATGGTTATGAACTGGACAGAAGTCTATTTTTGATTGACAAGAGTCTGCCTGTGTCAACCAGGAATGTGCTAAAATCTCACAAATATTGTGGGTTAATTTCAAGTTTATATTTAAAGGATTCTTATTTCATCCAAATATTGTTCACACTTCCAAATGTGAATTTCCATACTTTCCTTACGAATTTGCCACTGAATGTGGTATTTTGATTAGTGTTGTCAGGAAGTACCTAAATATTTTTCCCTCTTGATTAGTAGTTAACATTCTTCAACAAATTCTTTATTAGTCACAGGCCAATATGGCATGTGCAGGAAAAGATACTGAAATAAAGACTCTAGATCTTGCTCTGTTTCCTATTCTTAAATATAGGCCTCCATGTTTCTTGTCTGTATGAGGAGTTGGGCTAGATCACTGATTCCTAATAGGGATGGATATAGTAAAATCATCATTAATACAACTCAGTCATGACTGTCTACAGTGGTTTTAGGGATGGAACCAGAGTCACACATACCTGGTTTCAAATCCCAGCTACTCCACTTATTCGTTTTGTGATCTATTATTTAATTTTTGTGAGAATCATATGTTATATGAACAATTGGGATAATAATAATAGTTTCTCATTCATCTGCCTTTATGTGAGTACAGTCATCTCCGGGTATACCCAGGGGATTGGTTCCAGAACCCCCGTGGATATCAAATTCTGCAAATGCTCAATTCCCTTATATAAAATGAAGTAGTACATTGGTGAAAATTAAATGTAATAAAGTTTGTAAGACACTTAATTCATGCCTCAAATGTAACAAGCACCCAGTAAACATTAGCAACAGGTATAAAACAATATTACTATGGCACCAAAATAGTGCATAAGACTACAGAGAGAAAACCAGTCATATAATTTATTCTTATAGTCAACATTTGTTGAGTACCTACTAAAGCCAGATGTTGTTCTAAGCACTAATGAAGCAAAATGCCTTCATCCCCAGAGCTTACTTACATTCTAGTAGAAAATGTAATAAAATAAAAATATGATATGTTATGGTATAATATGATAACATACAGTGAAAAGGCCTCAAAGAAAAATAAAGTAGGGCCAAAGAATTGAGCATGATATGGCGTAGTGTGTGTTCTTGTATATAGTGCAGCAGAGAAGCCCTCTCTGAGGAGGAGATGTTTGAGTAGAGACTGGAGTAGGCTAGGCAGATATCTGGGGGAAAAGCTTTCCAGCCAGTGGGACCAGAAAATGCAAAGATGATGTGTGTAAGCAAGCTTGTATGCTCAAAGAATAGAAAGCTGGCCGTGTGGCTAAAGACAGGAAGGACATAATCGTAGAAAATAGAGACAGAGATATAGACAGAGACCAGGCAATGTAAGTCCCTGTAGAATACAGTAGGGACTTTGAATTTTACTTTCCTAAGTGTTACTAGAAATGACTGGAGTATCATAAGCAGAGAATTAACATGATTTGACTTAAGTTGCAAGCACACATGAATTTAAATACTCTATGGAAAAGTTACCGAAACTCTGTGGCTCATTTTTTCACTTGTTTGAGGGAGAGTTAAAAGAGATAATGCAGGGTAAAGGACAAACGCAGTGCTTGGTGCAAAATGCATGCTCAATAGCCTTAAAATTTGAAATTCCTCCTCTTCACCTGAAAGTCTGGAACAACAATAGACACAAGAACTGTCTCAATCAGTACTTTCTTTCCCACTAGTTAATCCCAGCTCTGACATTACCCTTATTACAGCCACTCCTTTCTATGAAACCATTTTTCCCCTAAAAGATAATAATTATTTCCCCTAAAAAATAATAATCCCCTTCTACAATAATGCTTGTTTTCCCTTGAGAGGATTTAGTTACCCTGGCATTTACTAACAGGGTCCATTTAGTTGCTAGTTGATGATACTTTGAGCAACCAGGGCACAATACTTGCATTGCAATAGAAATAATCATAAAAGTAAGTGTATATCAAATGGGGTGCTCCACAGAGAGAACCCCACAGTGGGCCCAAAGAGAGCAGTATGGTTTCTGGTCCTGGGGTTGAAATTATAATAAAGTTAGATAATGGTAACCTGGAGTGGGCTGATGAACAAGACATTGTCTTCAGACAGCTCTACATTTCAGGCTGCAATTTCTTTATTTCTCCACACTTCAGAAGTATATGTCCCATGGAGCCACCCAGAGAGTAGCAGACACATTCATACTAGAAGCCAAGGTTTCAGAGCCAAGCTCTTCTCAGGTTCAAGGTTTGACACCCCAGGCTTTCCTGGACTAAGTGTTTCATTTTGAAAAGAACATTTTCCATTTGATCTTTGCTTCTTATTTAGTCCTTCTTAGCTTCATCTTTTATTACAATATTTGTATTGGGCCATTGCCTTTCAGTGACTCAGTGAGTGGATATTCAGGGGCATGTATTTCTTTTCTATCTAAAAGAATGAATTGTGAAAAATCTAAGGGTAGAAAAGGGCCTGTACAAAATATATACTTTCTTGTCAATGATTCAAAGAATGCCTTGGACATTATTTAACTTGAATATTATATTAAATTTTGTGTCAGGAAAAAATATTCAAATGTAAATTATACCTGAAATGTTAGTGAAGTCTGTTGTGAAATCTAATCATCAATCTTTTCTGGGTCTGGCGCATTTAAGAATTCTTCTTACATTTTTCATGACCTGATTTAGAATCTTTGCAGCAGATGTGGCACCGTGTATTGAAGTTTCCCTGTACACTGAAATTCAACATTGAGTCCCTGGGTCTCCACATCTGGGAAAATCAGGCAAAACTCAGTCTTGACTCTTGCCTCCATCTAATTAGAGGGACAGAGATGCTTCCACTCAGGCCTCAGAAGAGACTCACAATTTTTGCCTTCATATCTCAAATCACAACTCCTAACAAACCTAGGATAACCTGGTAGGTGTTACTATTATTACATGATGAAAGACTAATGTTATGCACTTCTCAAATGGGAGTGCTAAGTGAAAATAAATGAGAATCTAGATATTTTCTTTTGAGTCATATGGACCTATTCCCCAAGCCTTTTTCTCTTTGTTATAGTTTCATACAGAATTCAATGTTAACTATTTATTGCTATAAATTTTCTTGCAGCTGTTCCAATTAAGTTATTCAGATGCAGTTTCTTGTCATTTTACCAATGTTCCAGCTGCTTCTAATCCTTTTTATGTAGTGCTTGAGAAATACGTTATACATAAATGAGAACATAGTTCCCAACAGGTAATATTTTGCTCAACCTTTCTTGCCTCTCTTAACTGAATTATGGGTCCACACAATCTTTCTTTCTCTGTTCTGTTTTGAAGCTAACCATTCTAACTATTCTCGTGATCTCATATTTTTTCTACCTCCTCTCTGAACTTGTTCCATTAATTACTTATTCTTCCTCTAGCTTAATTTCTCACTCTTCATTGGATCTGCCACTCAGCTTGGATTAAAGATCTCTCATATTACATTTTTTTCTTATCCTTCCTTGTCAAGCTCTCATCCTCATCATCGTTACTCCTTATTCTCATAATATTTGGAAAAGTTACTTTACCATTTAACTTTTACTCCTCCACTCACCTCTTTATATACCTTTTCTCTCTACCACCTTTCAGAAAGTGTTCTTTCAAAATTACCTCCTAACTTTTGTGTCCTATGACCTGTCTTCATTCTTGGATGCCTTATTTCTCCTCTAGATTTTAAAATGTTGGCTACTCACTCCTTTTCAAAAATTGCGTCAACCATGGTTCCCCCAACTACTCTTTTCAAAGTCTGTGTTGAGACTAAAACACAGTCTCAACCTGGATAGAGTTTATAGTCTAATAGGGTAAACAAACCTGTGCACAAACAGAACCCACAAGTTCTTCCCATGATACCTTTTCTGGTAATGAGGCAGACTGGACTTCCAGAAACTTTGTCTGGAAAGTTTTCCAAAAACTGAAATTGATCCAAAATGATTTTGTTTTAAAATCTCTTTAAATGCTCTGCTTAGCTGACAGGAAGGAAAGGAAATCTTTGAGGGCAGAAAAAAAGGTGAAAGTGTGAGTCAATGGAGGTAAACAAACTCTGGAACTAGCACCTTCCTTGAGAGCTGCCAGATCTAAATTGTAATGGCAGACAGAGGCATAGGAGGTAAAAACATGGCACCCAATCCAAATGGGATGTCGGGGCAAAGTGGGCCCTCCTCCTCTCGACTTTCCACCACATTCTATCCTCCAGCTCTACAGAAAACATAAAACTCCTGAAGAAAAAGCTCCTGAGCAATACCTACATTTTAAAAGAGGAAGACCTGGAATACTCAGATTCAGAAAGCCCAAGCAGAATAGTTGCAATGAAAGAATTATATACCAGATAAATTATATTTAAAAGGGATGGTAAAGACATTTTTAAAATTGTATACCCAAAAAAGGACCTTCACAAATGTATCTACTTATTGGGTAAATATAAACAAATATAATAGTAATACCTACTCTGGAGAGATAATAAAAACAATGGAATCAAATGCATATAATAACATAGCATATAAATCAGAAGGGGGTAATTGGGGTTAAAGCATTTCATTTTATCATACTTTAGCAGAATAGTCAAAATTTTAAATTAATTTTAAACATCTGAAAGTTTCTAGATTAAAATAACAATGAAAATAGTAGAAGTTTCAAAACCAAAATACCAGTAGAAGAGACTTCTAATTCTGTTCAAGATGGTGTAGCAGCAACCAGATTTACCCTCCTACCATAAACAACAACTATATAGATAAAACGAGACAAAATAAATAAATAACAAATGCATTATGCTGAGTGAAAGAACCCAGACTTAAAATCCCTATATATTTTATTATTAATTCCATTTATATAAAATTTAGATTGAGCTTAATTCTATATATCAGCTCATGGAGAAATACCATTTTAAATATATTAAGTCCTCCAATGCATGAAATGTTAATTTCCTCTGTCTTTCTAAATATTAATTTTTCTCAATAGTGTATTGTAATTTTTATGCATCTTTTGTTAAGATTCCTTTTAAAATGTTATTGCTTTTTAAATTTTATTCTCTATAGTTTTTTACTGCTAAGTAATATTTTTTATTTTTATAACACTATCAAACCACCATTTAAGTTCACATATTCATTCTAATGGTTTATAGATTATTTTGTAAAATCTAGATACACCATCACAACACATGTTTTAGGTTTATTAAGAGTTTTCATCATGAAAGTTGTTGAATTTTATCAAATGATTTTTCCACACTTTGAGGTATTCTTTTGATTAAGATTTCAGCATCTATTTTCATGAAGGAGATGGACCTAAAAATTTCTTTGCTAATAATAATTCAGCTTCTGGAATGATCTCTCTTGCTTTTTTTATTCTCTGGAAAATTATGTCTAAGGTTTTTGCTATTTATTAAGTATGACATTGTATATATTGGGAGGCAACCAGAGAATAAGATTTTAATTGTAGATTTTATTATATTAGTATATATAATATATAGTAGTTGCATTTTCTTCTACTTTCAGAGGTGATAAACTGTATTTTTCTAGTAATTTATCCATTTCGTCTAAATGTCTATTTTTTCAAATAAGGTGTCTATAATATTCTTGTATTATATTTTAAATATCTGAGGGATCTTTGATGATGTCTTCCCTTTTATTCTTGATATTGATCATTAGTTTCTTCTCTCACAGGTTCACATACAGATTGTGGAACTTCTTCTTTCTCACTTAGTCTTTCTGTAGGTTGACCAATTTTAATTATTCATTTCAAAGAATCATATTTTGGCTATTGATTTTTTTTAATTATTGTACTTTAGTCAGTTCTGCTGTTATATATTCTTTCTTCCTTTTGTTTTCATTGAGATTAATTTATTGTCCTTTTTCTAATTTCTTGAAGTAGCTGGTTAGTTCACCAATTTTTGGCTTTCAATTTTCTAATACATGAATGCAAGACTACACATTTTCTTCTTAGCTTCAGCTGCTTCAGAATTCGATATGTCTTTTTTTATCATCAACTAGTTTTAAATGTTTTTATTTCTTTTTAATTTCTTATTTGACCAACAGCTTAACATACAAAAAGTTACTTTTTTTAAAATTATCTTTGGCTACTGATTTCTGTCTTAATTAGGGTCTTATCTCCACAGGATTATAATTTTATCCCTCTGTTTCCACAGATTACCAAAATTCTCTCCTCATTGTTCTGTCTCTTGGTAGAGGTTCTCTACACAAGGCTTTGGATTCTAAGCTACAGTCAGCAAATGCCCTGATTCTTCACACTACATTGTTCCCCTTTCTCAGAGATTGTTTTTTCCCCCAAGTCTTGGTTGCCACAACAGTTCACCAAAATCTTTAAGCAGATCTTTTTTCTGACCATATTCTTGGCTTTAAAAGTTGTTTTCAATGAGATCCTAGGTCTGGCTGAAATCTTAACCCAAAGTGGAAGCATTCCTATTTAATTTATATTCATAAATGGGTGTTCTTTTTTACAAAAGATTAACCTCAAAATTACATATGTTTTACCCCTTCAAAACATAAAACTCTCTTTTCTAATTACCTTTTTGTTAGTAATGGTGGATTTTATACTATTTTTCAACTAGAGTGCAAATTCTTGAAGTCAAGGTCCAGCATCTCATTATACTTCCCTGTAGACTGGATGTAATTGAGGAGGTTTTTTTGTTTTTTTTTTTTTTTTTGAGGTGGAGTCTCTGTCACCCAGGCTGGAGTGCAGTGGTGCAATCTCAGCTCACTGCAGCCTCCGCCTCCAGGGTTCAAGCGATCCTCCTGCCTCAGCCTCCCGAGTAGCTGGGACTACAGGTGCGTGCCACCACGCCTGCCACCACGCCTGGCTAATTTTTTTGTATTTTTAGCAGAGACAGGGTTTCACCATGTTGGCCAGGATGGTCTCGATCTCTTGATCTCATTATCCGCCCACCTCGGCCTCCCAAAATGCTAGGATTACAGGTGTGAGCCACCACTCCCGGCCTGAGGAGGAAATTTTAAAGTGGAAAGAAGCACTGGAAGATGGATAGGATAAAATAAACCCAAATGAAATTAGGAAAACATGACTTACTTGCAAAAGAATACTTTAAAAAAATTTTATGGAGGAAAACAACTCTGATCCCTACAGCCCTTCACAGTTTCCTATCATGCCATTGTGCGGGTTATCACACAATGCCTGGCCAATGAGAAAGAGGTGACATACCCTCTGATTATCTTTTCTCTGTGTTTTATTTATCAGCAACACTGTTTTCTCTCATCACTATATGTAAATGAAAAATAACTCCATTATTTTTCCTACCAGAAAACAGGTTTTACCGGAATATTCTCACTGGGAAGCAGGGATTGATAGATTTTTATCAGCACTTCCCAACTAGTTACATCACATACATTACTTTGTATACTGTTCCCATTGACAGTGATGTTATGAAAAGCCCTAGTGCATTCTGGGTAATGCAGACTTCAAGCATTCACACTCTATTAATTAATTCATCACCTAAAAGCTAAGTATTGATTTTTTAATGGTTTTACAAATCCATTTAAGCTTCTGTGATGTGATTAAGAGGATGTGTGTTTACTGTAAATTATCTAACAAGTAGAATGGTTTTACTCTCAGAAATAACAAACAATTTAGCTTGTGAGAGAAAAGGAAAAAAGCTTCATTAAAATATTTTCCCAAATAATGATTGTTTATATAATAGCTGTCATAAGCCATTAAAATATGGTTTTTAAAAACCCTCTAATTTCAAACCATGGGCTCTATGTTTCCTGATTTGTAGTAAAAATGAAATCATATAGCAACGATGTTTTTTTTCCTCATCCTACTACAGATGATAGCAGGATATATTCTTTAACTGCCAGAGTTGGTCAGTAGGGTAACATTTGTTACCCTACTTCTTTTTGTGGAAGCTGTGGAATGATTTTGCATATTTCCATTTTCAATCCTAAGAAAATTGCTCAAAAGCCTTTTAGAAATACTCCCATGTGTATTCATTTATAGTATTTCCTTTATCTTTTATAATACTGAGAACAAAATGATGCAAAGTATTCTTAATTCTTAAAATAAAAAGGGTTTACTGCCAGGCAAAGTGGATCACACCTGTAATCTCAGGAGTTTGGGAGGCCAAGGCAGGTGGATCACCTGAGGTTAGCAGTTCGAGACCAGCCTGACCAACATGGTGAAACCCAGTCTCTACTAAAAGTACAAAAAAATTATCTGGGCGTGGTGGTGGGCACCTGTCATCCCAGCTACTCGGGATGCCGAGGCCAGAGAATCGCTTGAACCTAGAAGGTGGAGGTTGCAGTGAGCCAGAATTGTGCCATTGCATTCCAGCCTGGGTGACAGAGTGAGACTCTGTCTCTAAATAAATAAAAGCATTTACCTCATACATCCACTAAAGCTAGAAGTTGTGTTATTTGTCTGATAAATTGATTTTCAGTAGCAATATAGAAAATTAAAGTACTTTGAAAATGATGGGAATTGCATTCAGAAGACATGATTTTATAGGTAGCTTTGGAAAAGATAAAAGTCATTTACATATCTGCACAAAGTTAAATATGTCATCTGATAATATTTAGCATCAACTGTCATCATCGATGACTGTGGGCATGCACGCTGTGGCTTGTCCTCTCAAAGGAATTGCACTGCAAAGTCTATAAAGCCTCTTGGAGACATTTTAGCAAAAACTTTACATTTTTTCCTGCAGTTCCTTTTCCAGCTCCCTTTTAAATCTATTATAAGCTCAAATTTGGGGTTTAGAAGAAAGGAGTACACTACAGTGCAGTACAGCCTGAAAATCAATTCTCCTTGAAACATTTCAGGCAATGCTAACATACATGGCTGAGGAATGCAGAGATTGTTTCTTTCCAAATTCAAAATGGTGTGCAATAATTGTGAATATCTGTGTGTCCATGTGTACAGAAACAAATAATATGAAAATATTTACATAAAAAGGGTTTAACGAAAACGTTTTGTGCTTTCTGTCAAAGCAGAAAAACATTCTGGTACTCCTTTCCCAGCTAATTTTGACCTTCCAACTACTTTGGAAAAAAACTGATCATTAGATAATTATGTAGCTGCTTTTCTTTCTTTACTTCATACTCTGAAGGAAGAGGCTGCAGTATTTTTACCAGGAACAGTTGCTGCTATTACTCAGTTTTGAGATGACATCCAACTGGCAATGAGAAATGGGAGGCTATTTGAAGCCACTCATCATACAGAGATAAAAAGGCTGCTGAATAATCCTGCTAGGCCTTCTGATAACATTAATTACCAGCAGAGTTAAGGTTGGTATATATCTGTGACTTTCTTTTAAGGTTAATTTTTTATGCTCAGTGTCAAAAAAAGAAAAAGCCAAGATCAGAATACCTCATATTTTATGGATAAGAAAAAGAGACCCTTTTTTTGTAGTTAAAACTAAATATGTGCATGCACACTCAGTTTTGACTTAGAGAAAGTTATGTACTTTTCAAGGTTTGGCTCCTTCCTAGCTCCTTTCAAATAATCACCATTTGGCACTTCTTAAAAAGTGTGCATAATTAGGACTTTAAAAAAGCTTCTGTAGGTTATGAAGAAGTCCTCTCATTTGTAGTTAACTTCGGATAGGTATTTGGACCCTCAAAATGAAATTAAACATTTATTTATTTGCATATTTCTGTACACAGCCCATCCTTTCTGCACCTGTGTACTTCACATAAATACAAACCCACAATTCTACTTAATTATGCCACCAACAATGTGTAGTCAGAGACCTCCACTGATTACACTCCCATTTCTGAAAATGTTCCACTCCACACCATATACATTTATCAAGGGCAAATAGACTTGGACAGCTATATAGGATGAGATTTGATCAAGAAAATGCCAGAAAACAGAGATCTCGGAGAAGAGAAGATAATAAAAGGTTATTTTTAATATCAGAACGACAGAAAGACTAATCAGCAGAAATTTCTCTGATGTATTTATTACTGCTAACAAAGTTTATTATCAGACTTCAGGCTACTTTTTATTGAACATAAATACAGAAAAAAAGTCATTAGTCCTGTGTGAGTCTTACTACAGTATAAGCAGCCAAAGATAACACTTTCTGGGATTCTTAAGGATAAGGATCTTGGTAGAATTAGTTAATATTTATTCTTTCAACAAATATTTGAAATATATGCCAGGCGCTATTCTAAGTACCAGGGATATGATGAAAACCTCTGCCTTCATGGAGCTTCCAATCTAATAAGGAGAGAAAACAATCAATAAGTAATAAAAGGGGGCTAGGAAAGATGGCAGAGGGAGAGAGACAAAGGAGGTTGGGGCAAGAGGTGGATTATCTAATTTACAATAGAGTTGCCAGAAAGACCTCATTAAAATTATATTGAAGAGATGAATAAGCATTCTTTTGCTGAAGAAAAAAACCTCCTTCATATGATGAAGTATTTCCATTATTTATACAGGTAGCCTTTGGTCTAGTCATAGTTGGAGAGGAAGGACCTCTCCAGGAGCCTATAATCATCGACCCAAAATCTGTATGGTGAAAACTGACATGCAAATCCCTGAATAGTCTTTCACAAATGGTTAGCTCTTTACTGTGTGGCCTTAGGCTAGTTACAGAAGCTGTCTGATTCTTGGTTGTCTCATCTTTACAATGGAATTGATAATACTTACTTTATGAGACTCAGGAGTATTTATGCTGAAAACTTGCTGGGTGCTAAGTAAGTAGTAGTGATTGTGTTTCATGATTATTTATAGTATAAAAAGGTTAAATGTTCCATTGAATATTGTCCACTTTTCATAAGAATTGCACGGTCTGATTGGTAAGCTTGAGGACAGACAAATACTGTAATTGAGATATAATTAGAGGACTGGAAGTCTTCTTCTCCAAGTAATTTTTCACCCTTCTTCTTAAACTCAATGTTGCCAGTGAACAATTTATTCAAAAATAAATGTATGCCACATCTCAGCATTAAGGAACTGGGGTTCTGGGTTATTAATAAGGTTGCAGCTGAATGTCAGGCTGTGTTCGGGATCCTGGAGAGTGCAGTGCGGTCAGGCAGAAAGAGCCATTCAAGCAAGGAGAAGTTTAAACCCTTTCCACAGAGAAACCAGAAACCTGAAAGATAGAAAGTATCCAGGGACAACATGGCTTGTTAGTTTGCAGCCACTGTCTTCTGTGTGCTCATCTGAGTACTAGAAGACTAATCAGTGCTCACGCATCCTTTCCCTCAGTCTACCTGTTGGGTTTGGCCAACTGGAAGAACTGATTAAGACCCTGGAGAGCAGGAAGAAAGAGAGCTGGGGGTATTTAATCTTCACACTCTTCCCATGCTTGGCTGATGTTCTGGCAACAGTTGCATTTCTGTATGGCTGAGACTGTGGTCAGGAGATCCAGCTTTCACCAGGCTCTGGGAACCCAGTTCCGTCTCCTTCAGGCCTAGGTGACAATGGCATTATTGCTGGTGTCTAGATGTCTCACCATGTAACATCCTATAGCCCTAATCACGCCTCTGTAAGTGGTTCATTTAGTAAATTTATTTTCAGTAAAATCCTTTTGGAGATGTCATCTCTTTCCTGCTTTGGCCCCCATATGATATATCTACTTTGTGCAGAAATGGTACTGGATCTGAATGCAAACCAACCGGCAGGTTTTTGTTTTGTTTTGTTTTGTTGAAAAAGGGTCTCACTCTGTCACCCAGGCTGGAGTACAGTGGCATGATCATGGCTCACTGTAGCCTCAAACTCCTGGGCTCAAGCAATCTTCTTGCCTCAGCCTCCAGGGTGCTGGGATTATAGGCATGAGCCACTACGCCTGGCCTGAATTTCTGACTATTGGAACATATTTGTATTGTCATGGGTGTTCAGTTGTATCTGTCATCAGAATCCCTATCACCTACGTTCACAAACATCTTGGCTAATGACAGCTTAACTCAAAAGGGGCTTCTAAACAGGGCTCATGCCTCTTGGAGCATATGCATTTGCCTCAGAGCATTGTTCTCTGGCTAAAGCAAATGCCCCAGCCAAAGAAAAATGAGAATGAGAAGCTTGGTCCCAAACTAAAAATGTTCCTAAAGAGAAAGGGTTGTGTGATGTGAGGCAAACTGGATTAGATATATGTAGTGTTGATTCTTCCTGCTCTTGGGTCTTGGTTAATTATCTAAGCTTCTGGGAACCAACAAAGAGAGTAGGAAGTAAAGACAGCCATAGAGTCTGAAAGGTCTGCTAGACAGCTGCCAAGGCTGGGCTTGAAGACTTCTCTGCAAGATCATTAGGGTCTGGATGGGGGCAGTCAGCAGCAGTCTATCTAAAGCCTCCTTAACAGAAGCCTGACAAAAATAAATCATTTATTTTGGATATTTTAATAGGTCCACCATAATTTTAACTAACCCAATAAAAATTTGTAGTTGTTAGTGTTTGTTTCTATCTTGGTTTTGATAGTGGATGACTTTAACCAGATCAGTTTCTGCCGCTTCTCAATTTCCCCTCAACTAGAAAACTTTGTTGAAATGAAAGACATTTGAGAAAGGCTGTAAGTATTTGACATGTCTGTCAGATCATTCTGGCTATTTGGATTGAACCCGACAGTCCTTATTCATTTTCACTGAAGACCGCTCAACATTTTGTCAGATGCTAAGTGTTGACCACATCACATTCAGAAGAATGTAGTCGGAGAGTCTTAACTTGAATAGTAATAGAAGATGCTTTTTAATCAATCTCTCAATGCACTCTGTATTGGGAAAGATTTGTTAATGTTCTGTTGAAACATGTGATGATATTCCTAAATATTTCTAGTAATACACGATTGGTTCTTTGAAAGAGTGACAGTAAAAAGTCAATCTCTTGGCAATGAAGTAATTTAGGAGAAGTTCAGTTCTTTTGAGAAATTCTGATAGTCTTGTGCTTAAACCCATAATGGTTTCGTTCTAAAATATTAGGTTATATTACTCAGAATCCTGAATATTCCAATGGCATCATCATTCACCTGAAAAAAAATGTTTTTAAAGTAAATATTATCTTTTCTCCTTTCAGATACTCATGTGAGTACCTACTCTTGATAGCATATTCTAGCATGGATGTGCAGACCATGCAGAAAAAGCATACCTTTAGAGGCAAAGTGTGATTGTATTTTAAATTTTAATTATTTTCTTCATCAGTGACTCAAGATGAAGAGATGTATTTTTGACTTCCAACTGTTTTCTCTAATCAACGTGGTAAATAGATTATCATTTTTGTGCAACCTCTTTTGTTCATGTGGCAATACCTTTCTTTGTTGATCAGACAGTTTAAATAACCAAATGTTATTGCCAGTTTATATTGTGTTTTTCAAAGTAATCGTTATTTAAACCAAAAGTCAGTTTCTCAAATGTCAATATAAAATATCCGTTAGTACATAGAAAATAATTAAACCTCCATATTGCATGCCACTGATACAATATTCAAGTCTGCTTTCAGATTAAAGAATTTTATGAAATGATCATTTTGCCCTTTCTCTGAAATAGTTTTCATGAAGTATGTGGGTTTTACAACTTCTTAGCAATACTGTGACTTTTATCTGGTTTTGTACCTTTGAATGATGTCTTTTTACATAGAAATGCATTATTTTACCTTACTCTGGGAAGATTATTGGAATATAAGAAAGGTCACTGTGCTTTGAAAATGACAAGAAATCTTTGATGAATTTATGCTGCTCATTGACAAAGCTTCATAATAAACAATCCTCTGAGGACTCAGGGAAAATGGATTGAGTCTCCTGTAAAACTTCATTTTCAAAATATTTGTTATAGATTCCTTTTATATTTTAATGGCTAGCTTTTGAGACAATGGTTTATTTTTATAACATTGTGATACAATACCAAAAAATAAAACAAAAATTTAGAAAATGTAAAGAATAGCACTAGAATTTTTGAAAATTACTTGATGCAAACTCTATTCTAATAGTACGTAAATCAAGATAAACTCACCAGGTTAGTCTTTGTAGTCCTTATAGCTTTAAAAATGCAACAGGAGATGGTATCTGTGAAATGTCATAATTAATCTTACATTGTATATTTGCGAAAGGTATACAAAATATTCTAACATGTTTTCCAGTAGAACTATCAAAATACCAGCAGACTACTTATACAAATGTTTCCAGCAGTGTGTTTCCAGCATTCAGAAAGACTCCTAGAAAAGATGGCAGCTGTTTTATTCATCAGTGTGTCCTTAGGGCTTAGCATAATGTCTGGCACACAGTAGGTGCATAATAAATAATATTTTAATGACAAATTAACAAGTAAATGTAAAATTGCATGATACAGAATGCAATATTATGGTCACTAAAATGAAAGCTTTCTACAACTTGTCTTTCATGTGAGTAGTTGGCCTGGACTGAGTGAGCTTGATGGGTTCTGTCGAGTTTGTTATTTATTGTGCTGATGGTCCTGGAGTTCATTTCCAGTGTGGTATAATTTTGGCATTGTCCATCATATAGCTATGAGCACCTGCGGACTTTGAAACACTGAAGAGAAACAGAGAAAAGACCTATTGGTAGGCCGAGTACAGTGGCTCACGCTTCTAATCCCAGCACTTTGGGAGGCCAAAGTGGGCATATCACCTGAGGTCAGGAGTTGGAGACCAGCCTGGCCAACATGGTAAAACCACCCCCCTACTAAAAATACAAAAATTAGCAAAGTGTGGTGGCACACTCCTGTAGTCCAAGCTACTCGCTCCAGCCTGGCAACGCAGCAAGACTCCATCACAAAAAAAAAAAGAAAGAAAGAAAAGGAAAGAAAGAAAAGAAAAGAAAAAAAAAAGACCTATTGGTAAAATAGTCTCAATATCACAGGATATTGTTTAATTAAATCCTACTAGAATCATCCGGTTGAGCAACATGTTTTTTGAGGGGTGTGTGAAAAATACCACACATGTACTACCATTACAATTCTGTTGAAACATATGTACATATGTCAGTAACAACACATACAATTTGTACCGCATTTTTTTGTTTTGATGGTGAGCATACCTTTTATTTCTAATACTCCTTAAGAGCAAAATATTAACCAGACTATGCTAACTGCAATAACAAACAACTCCTAATTTGTGGCTTAACACAATTAAAATTAGGGCTACCTCCCATCACAGTTCAATGTAGTCATTGTCAATGGGGTAGAGTTGAAGGGTTCTGCTTAAATAGTCCTGTAGAGAGTCAGACTCTGCCATCGCAGGCTGCATCATCTTTACCACACGGTCTCCAAGGGGAAAAGGTAGCATAGAGGGTCAGGTGGGGGATATTTATGGGCCAGGCCTGGTAACGGCATATGTTACTTCAGCACACATAAGCCACAACCAAGCCACGGGGCCCAATCAAATTGCAGGAGAGACAGAAATGTCTTCTGTGCCCCAGCTGGAAAATGAAATAGGTTTGGTAAACATATAGCATTATTTCTGCCACATCTTGCCCTCTTGTCATCAAAAACATATTTTAGTCTTCCTCCCATGCATAGAACCCGCTAACTCCTCACCTTCCTAGAAACAACACCCAGAGTTCCATCCAGTTACTACATTCAGCTCAAAGCCTTCAGAGAGTGTAAAGTTCCTCTAAGGCCAGAGACTTGTGAACTGAAGAAGTAAGTTATTGCCACTCCTCCCCATGTACATGCCCGATATTTCATGGATGGACAAAGGACAGGAGCTGCGATAAAACCCCTATTTGAAAAGGGAGAAATGGAAGACATTCAGCAGTTGCTGGTCAGAAATTTTTATACAGTGTAGGCATTATACAGTTTTCTGACCTGGCAGTGGGAAAGTCCTTTAATTAGATGCCATCTTCCATGTGTCTCTGTAGTTTCTGGTTCTGCCATCACTAGGGAGGGGATCTTTATTCATTATCCTCCATGGCTGTATCTGAAGTGGGCATTAGGGCATATGCCCTCCTCATGAAGGTAGCATTGTGGAACATCCTCCTGCTCATGGAAGAATAGGGGACCCGAGTCTTTTAATTTTGAACAAAGAAATTTGTAGTCCAAGATTTTGGATTTTTAGGCAATATGTTTCCCACAGAAACTTAATAGGTTGATGATTTTTTCTTCTAGTTACTTCTTTTTTTTTTTTTTTTGAGACAGAGTTTCGCTCTGTCACCCTGGCTGGAGTGAAGTGGTGCGATCTCGGCTCACTGCAACCTCTGCCTCCTGGGTTCAAGCGATTCTCCTGCCTCAGCCCCCTGAGTAGCTGGGATTACAGGCATGTGCCACCACACCCGGCTAATTTTGTATTTTTAGTAGGGACGGGGTTTCACCATGTTGGCCAGGCTGGTCTCGAACTCCTGACCTCAGATGATCCGCTCACCTTGGCCTCCCAAAGTGCTGGGATTACAGACGTGAGCCACCGCACCTGGCCTCTTCCAGTTACTTCTAAATACCAATATTCACACATAAAGTATTTTTTCCAGATGTAATTCTCAAATCTGCTTAATTTTATTGTATCCTCCAATCCCACCACACCTCTCTCTTTAGTCAGTGGTAGACACTCTGAAGCTACAGACTTATAAGACCACAACCTCAGTTCGACATTTGCCACAAGGCTCAGTTTCAAATATTTTTCCTGTGTTATTTCTTATATCTAGAAGTAGTAAGATTGTCTAATTTTTCAAGACCTCAGAGTGATAGACTTTCTCCATTCTTTTTAATTTCTGCTTATAAAGTGACCATTTCTCTTTTGATCTTTTCTTTTTCCTGCAGTCTTCCCAGATGAATCTAATAGTAGTCAATAACCACTAAGAGTTTGAATCTTTTCAACTACATTTTCTAGATGCCTATAAAGGGTAGCATGCCTGGCTTCAGTGAGCTTATAATCTAATTGGAGAAAGAGAATATGTACAAAAGCAATTTTAATTAAAAATATTAGTTTCTATATATTCTAACAGACTGGTGATTAATTCAGAAATTGAGTCTTATTCTAGTTTGAAGAAAGGAAAGATTCCCCCTTTTAATTCAAACAATGGAACCATTACAGATTTTGGTGTGAAACAGCAGGATAATCAGAAAAGAGTTTCAGAAAACCTCTATGTAACTAAGCCTATGTATAAAAGATTTTTAAAAATGTGATATGGACAGTTTCTAAATGTATGCTGTGTCCCTGCTGAGGCTTTAGTGCTGTTTTGAGATCATGTTGGAACTGACAATATCAACAATACTTCACAGGCAGAGAAGATCCATGCGGTGCTCAGCTTTCTCATTTAATCTCTCATTAGCTAAGAAATGTCAGATACTCTGCTCGGGAAAAAAAATGATATTTCTACGCCCTCTATGTGTTTATCAATATCTACTGATACTTTAAGTTGAACATTGAAAATAATTCACTAAATGATAACTGTAATGAAGTGTGAAATAAATTACCATTTTTTGGTGATAAAGATTATTGTGCTGGGCGAAGACACATTTATCACGTATCCTTGACAGTTCAGACCTGAAATAACGGGGGAACTAAAAAACAAAAAAGCAACAGTCCAAACACGTGAAATTAAATTGCTATTTAAATCCATGTGGTGGTAATGACTCAGACACCTGCCACTGGGGTCAGAGGATGCCTTTGGAGCTATTTGGATTCCCAGACAGTAAGTAGCTGAGGGATTCAATTTAGCAATGCCAGCTTTCAGCCACTTCCTAGAATCTGAGAAAGAAGATTTAAATGGATTTTCTTAAGACTTGTGTCCCAACTGTGTCCACCATGATGATCTGGCCACACTTAACATCCAGCTCATCAAAAGTTTTCCAGTGTTTTAGGTTCTCATAAAAATTCAATTATTTGCAGGCAAAACATTAGCACACCATATTCAGAAAATTTCTTATAGTCATTTCACATGACATCAATACATCTCCTACCAAAAGTCTCTCTCACCACACATTCTTCCTCCAAGCATGTTTTTGCCTCACAAAAGCAATATCCTCGTATTTTGCAAAGGGAGGGGATTGTCATCATTTATAACACTTTTGAAATAGGTCATTATTTTTTAGCATTTCTACTCACATTAATTTTAGTACATGCTAAATTTATGAGTAATATTTGTATAATTAGTGAGCTTACTATTCACAGCACTATATATGTGCTGTTCATATTTATTTTGAGCCAAATTGACCTAAACTGTGTTCTGTAAAGTGTTTTCAACTATTTTACTACCTATTGAGTTTTGAATTAAAATTAATTTAAATTATTGCCATAAGTCTTGGTTAATTTGCAAATTTTTTATTTTAGGAACCTTAAGATAGGAAAATTTTTGTGCAGCACAAACTTCTCCTAAGACAATCTCTCCTAAGTTCCTCTTAGGGAGATCACTGTCTTTGTTTGAGAAAATGCTTTAACGCATGCTTGGTGTAGCATGGTGATACTTTCCTTCTCCTTCAGCAGAAACTGCATGCTGCCTGGCACCAAGATGTCAGAACATAGGCGTCTTCGTTAGTTTGTGTTTCTATAGAGGAATGCCTCAGATTGGGTAATTTATAAAGACAAGAGGTTTATTTGGCTCATGGTTCTGCAGGCTGTACAAGAAGTATGATACTGGCATCTGCTCAGCTTCTGATGAAACCCTCAGGCTGCTTCCACTCATGGCAGAAAGCCAAAGGAAACAGGCATGTGCAGAGATCACATAGCAAGACAGCAAGCAAGAGCAGGACAGTTGTGGGAGGGAGGGGGGCAGTAACAGGCTCTTTATAACAACCTGCACTCATGGCAACTAACAGAATAAGAATTCACTTACTCCCCCCATCCCTGGGAAAGCATTAATCTATTTATGAAGGATCTTCTCCTGCACACCAAACATCACCCATTAGAACCCATTTTCAACATTAGGAATCAAATTTCATCAGAAGATTTGGTGGAGACAAACAAATCTTATCTAAACTAGAGCAAGGGGCCTAACCTATCTGCATAATGGAAGAATGGATAGTTGCTGGGAAAATTCAGAGGAGAAAATAAGGAACTAGGAGGTTGAATATAATCTAGAAAGAGGTTAGAGCAGGGTTTCTCAATCTCAGAACTACTGACGTTTTAGGTGATAATTCTTGGTTTGGGAGGCCTCTCTGTGCATTGTAAGATATTGAGCAGCATCCTTGGCCTCTACGCACTAGACACCAGTATTCCAACCCCCCACACACTGGTTGCACTGAATGTGATGATCAAAAATGTCTTAAGACTTTGCCAGGTTCCCCTAAGAAGGCAAAACTGCCCCACTTGAGACCCACTGGACTAAATTATGGCACCCTTAATGGCAGGATGCCCTAATGGGATTTGGGAAAAACAAGAATGTTTAAAATCAGATTAAAAAAAAAATCTCAGCTGGGCACGGTGGCTCACGCCTGTAATCCCAGCACTTTGGGAGGCCGAGGCGGGTGGATCACGAGCTTAGGAGATCGAGACCATCCTGGCTAACATGGTGAAATGCCGTCTCTACTAAAAATACAAAAAATTAGCCGGGTGCGGTGGCGGACGCCTGTAGTCCCAGCTACTTGGGAGGCTGAGGCAGGAGAATGGTGTGAACCCGGGAGGCGGAGCTTGCAGTGAGCCGAGATCGCGCCACTACACTCCAGCCTGGGCGACAGGGCGAGACTCCATTTCAAAAAAAAAAAAAAATCTCTGTGTTGGCACTTACGAAAGCCTAAAAAACATTATGCCTTTCTTCCCTAATCTGAATTTTTAAAACAATTAAGAAATAAGCTCAGAAATCTGGCAGATGGATCTCAAAATATTAGTTTGATCATTAATAAAAGCAAACTTAAATTATATACACTATAGGGTAGGCATATTTTAGACTTGTAGAATTTGCACAATGATGAGATCACCTAGCAACACATTTCTTAGAATGTATCCTTGTTAAGATTCATATGATTGTATTATACATGTATAAATATACATATATTATACATGTATAAATATACATATACATGTATAAATATACATATATTATATAGTATATAGAAATATACCTGTATATGTAGATATACATATATATTATACAGAAATATACCTGTATATGAATATACATGTATTATCTATTACATAACATATATATCACATGTCTATGTCATATTATTTTTATAATCTTGAACTCTATTCTGTTGCATTGACTTATTTAATTATCCTTATACAAATGCCATACTACCTTAATGACTAGTTTTACAGCAAGACTTAAAGGTAGTTGTGTTGTAATTCCTCCACTTGTGCTTCTTGCTCAAATTATCCTGGCTATATTAGGTCCTTTGAATTTCCATATACATTTTGGAATCAACTTGTCAATTTCTAAAAAAAAAAACCCTCCTGATAGGGATAGCCTTGAAGCTATAGATTAATATGGGGAAAATGGCATCTCAAAAATATTGAGTAGTTTAATCTATAAATATGATGAATAAACTTATTTAGGTCATTCATAACTTCTTTCTGCATAGTTAGTACTTTCAGGTGTATAAGTTGTACATCTTTTGATACGCTTATTTGTAGGTATTTGATGGTTTTATGCTATTATGAGTAGTATTGTTTTTAACTTTCATTTTTCATGGCTTGTTGTGAGTATATAAATAGAATTGATTTTTGTATATTGACTTTGTATAATGTAATCTTGGTACACTCACTAACTACTACTAATGGTTTGTTTTTAGATTACATTTTTCTTATTCCACTGCCTAGGAGAACTAGTCCAATATTGAATAAAACTGGTGACAATTGTCCTACCTTAGATAAAAAATCTTAATATCCACCAGTAAATATGATATGAGCTGAAGATGATTTAAATATTTTTTATCAAACTGATGACATTCCCTTCTATGCTTGGTTAGCAAAGGTTTTGACTATAAATTAGTGTTAAATTGTATCAAATGCTTATTTCACATAGATTGAGGTGATAATATTTTTATCTTTTATTCTGTGAATATGGTCAATTTCATTAATTGATTTTTAATCTTAATCTGACTCTGTATACCTGAATAAACTCTACTATGCTGTGATGACAGCTTTTTATGTAATTTCTGATTTGATTTGCTAATGTTTTGTTTAGGATTTTTGTATTTATATTACTGAGGGATAGATTTAACCCAAATCACATTATTAAATTATATTAAATGTAAATGGGATAAACACTAATTAAAAGACAGATTGGTTGATTGGTTAAAATCACACATTTCTATTTTCATGAGATAAACATTCTTGAACACATTCATATGGTATTCTGTTCCTCCCACCTCAAGAAATGAGGGATTTTGTGGTGAAATCTACTACTACCTAAGCAAATATAAGTCCATTTAGAACGTATTTAATAGTATACATTATTCAGCTGTATTTCTGTTCTTTAGATAGAAACAACTGTCTTGTTGGAATTCACTATTCTCCAAGTCTGTCTTTATCACAATTTACGTTCTACTTTCTTCTAATATAGACCTCTAAGTTTATTCTTCATAAGAATTTAGCATCCCTGTTGACATATAACCTATGTGGCCCCTATATAAAATATTTACTTTTACTTCGATGATTTGCCTATGCTATTCATAATTTGATTATGTTCTCATCATTAAACCATGTTCCTTCTGAAGTTAAAGTCTAGTTCTAGTTCCATCTTTAGTATAAAATATCTCCATTAAAATCAGGCATCACTGAATTTCAAAAATTTTTTGGATTAGTTATCTGAATTACCAAATAATAAGTATATTTTCTTATTTTTCACAATATTTAATTCTGTACTAGCAGCTCTTTTATTGACTTTTTGAAATGTATATGCTAACAAAAATATCACAGGCTTAGGAAAAGTTATGGTACTACAGCATTCAATATTATGAAATAATGCATTTACTCTACTGCTAAGTAAAAACACACAAAGAAGCATATTAAACTATATGTGTAGAGTTATCCAATACATTTCAAAATATAGAACAAGTTGAGTAGAAGAAAATAGTTTACATATGTTCACAAAGGTTACCTTAAATGATGAGATTAGATGATTTTTCTTTTTAATTTTTGTTCCGTTTCTATGTTTTTTTAAATAGGCTTATGTTATTTTAAAATTATTCACAAAATATTAAATACCAACAAGCTGGACAAAGTGCATGCATGTGTTGGGTTTGTGTAGTTGTGTGTAGGCTTGTTCTGTGTGTGTGTATGTGCTCATGTGCACTCACCTGCATGTTCCTTTCCCAGATTTGCCACACACTATGTATGTGACCTGGAAAAGAGTTGTTTACTTTCTCTGTGCGTCAATTTTTTCTTCTATAAAAAGTTGGATAATATTAATACTATTTCATTCAGCGAGATATTATGAAGATTAAATGTGGTTAATATTTTAAAAGCATGTATGACTGGGACAGATAGATAGTAAATGCTCAATAAATATTAGCTTTTATTACTACTATAATTATTATACTTATTTTTATATAGTGTGGTTGGTAGACAGACTAAAAGTAAATAGAATAAGGCATTAAAAGTGAATAACACTCAGGAATAAAATTGTAGGAAATCATTTTTCTTCTATATATAACTTTTTGCTATTTCCATAATAAATATATTCCATAATTAGAAAAAAATAAATTGTTTGAAAATATAAGAAGTTTCTTTTCTTTGAAGTGAATATAGTATTTTGTTTGCCTGAAATGCTCTACTACATCTAAGGGACATATTTCAGGAGCTAGATGCTAAAGAATAGGGGAAATATCATACATATGAAGTTTTTTTTGCTTTTCACAATTTTTTTTTGCTTTTTCTAAACTATTTAGGAAAGTTTTACATTTTTGGATGAACTATCTTACCTCCTTGATTTGTTAGGTTGGTAGGAACAGCCCGTTCTTTTTGCAATACTTACTTGCAAAAGCGAAAAAACGTATGCCTTCAATATAATATACTTATATTAAATTGACTGTGTTCAATTTTGTTTCCAAATTACAGGGATACTTTAAATAATTTCAAAGTATGAAGACAGCTGCCTGTAGAGTACTGGTTTGCTCCTAAAAAAATTAGTTTTGATGGGGCTATATCAGATGAAGTCAGAGAAAGAGGTGCCTTCTGGGTTCAAAGTTTCTCATTCAGTGAAAATTCTACGGTCATGAAGCTGTTGCTTGCACACACCAAGGCCTGATGGGAGGTTTGCTAAGCTATGAGGTAGCCTTTTCTGCCTCCTTGTCAGCACCAGAGAAGCTGTGAGGTATTTAATAGCTTATGAGGTCTTGAGAATGTTACTAAATGCTTCAGATGAACTTCAGGGCTAAGTTTAGCCATGGGATACAGAGAGAAGAATGCAGACATAACATTTCTCTAGTCCAGAGAAAAGTTCCATAAATCTTAAAATGTACAAAGTATTTTGATGTGTGGCTACTTATTATAAGGTTACTGGGTTTCACTAATGGATTTCCAAAGAATGACTGCCTTACGAGATATGGTGCTCACCTGATTATTATTAAATAATAATAATAATGCAGATTTTCGTTCATTGAGAAAATTGTAATAGCATGCATCTTGAACTACCAGAGTCTCATTCTACCCTTAGCAATCAGAGGGTTTCAGAAGATAACGTGGAAGACTTAGTAATAATTTGCATCAAAATAGTTCTTCTCTTCCCTACAAAGGATTCTTATCTGTAAAAATAACGGAGTTGATAGACAAATGGCTTAATCCTTAGCAGTATCCAACTGCTTTGATACAAATACATTCAGTCACATTAATGGGGAAGCCCAACCTAAGGCTATCAGCAAAAGGAACTGAAGAATTTCCTGGAAGACAACTTCATGGGAATAGAAAGTCCAGCAGATTCTATCAGTTGGGAGGGCTGATTCTGAGGCAATGTGACTAAGCTGTTTCTCCCAGTCTTCTCTTAATGGAGTAGCCTGAGCCACAAAAATGTGTGAAGGAAAGGGGCTATACATATTTTTCAACAAGCTGGTTTTACAATAACCACTTTGGAAATGCGTAATGCTATGTACTGTCCAAAGTGATTCTCTAAACTACTGCCTGAATATGAACTGCCCTTAGCACTTTGACAACTCCAGAGAACTCAACAATGTTTTGACAACAAGCAGAATCTGGATTCTAACAGCAAGGAGAGAAACTGAGCAGGAGAAGAGGAGAACAGTGGGAATATTATATAGCAATTGGCTGGACATATTTCATGGAATATCTAAGGCATCCCCTGGGTACTATTTTAGAATATTGTAGTTCTAGAAAATATGTGTGTGTGTGTTTGTGTGTGTGTGTGTGTGTGTGTGTGTATTGGTTGAGGTGGGGTGGAACACAAAATTTTCCAAATGTAGGTTATAAAAAATTAAAGTTCTATTAGGTGCCTCACAAAACTTATCTTCAGAGTTTTTGAGTTGTTACCTTCACATTCTATCTACTGCAGAAAAAAATGGCAAATTTTAATTTATTTGACTTTACAACAAGGGAAAATTATCAGTAGGCATGACGTCTCAATATTTAAAATGAGTAAGTCCTAGAGATCTGCTATACAACTGTGTCTCTATAATTAACAATGCTGTATTGTACACTGAACAATTTGTAAGAAGGTAGATCTAATGTCACATTTTTTTGCCATAATAAGGTAAAAAAAAAAAATCTTAAAATAAGAGAAAATTCCACCATTTTTATTTGTTAAAGATTATATAACAAGATATGTTGAAGATAAGTATCTGAAACATTGCCTTTAAGGAAATTAAACCAAGAATCACTATAAATCAATATTTATATCAAGGAATAGAGTAGTAAAGAACCTAGCTATTTTCTTTGACACAAAAAAATATGAAAAATAATATTATAATAGCCCAAAAGGATCCTATCTTTTATAAAATCAAGGTGGCAGACTGACCCATTAATTGAAATTAAGGTACATCTTGAATCTTCTACTAAGCTCAAAGTCCTTTAGCTTGCTCAGAAGTTATCGTGAATAGACAGAGAGATAAAAGCAAAACACTTAGTGGTTGAGTTCAAACAGGGACTTGATACCTATCTGTCAAAGTCCTGCTGTCTAATTCTCCATGGCTGTTCAGCTCAAAGAGATTATTTTTTCCAATAACAATTAGATTGCCGGGCACATTAACCCGCCCCCATCTTGCAATCTTTTAAGTGCAATTCTACTCACTTATAATAGTTTACTAAAAGCTACTCATTTTTAAGCTATTCAATCATTTACACTTAAAATTGATCAAAATCAACAGAGGTCCAGCATGACACCATAGGTGATGGTATCTCCAGCCACTAATGCTTCATGTGAGTGGTTCATCGGCAACACATTCGTTTCCAGATAGAAAAGTAGAATCAGAACATTTTTAAAGACTCAAGAAATCTTTCAAACTAAATTGCAATTATATATTCCATTTTGCACAGTACTCTTGCAAACAGTTTAATAAATAGATATTTTTCTTTCTGGTGAAAAGTTTTCTACAGCTTGTGATATTTTATTTTTTGTATTGCAAAGTCTTATGTTGCACTGTCCCACAGTTCCTGTCTTAGCTCATGGCAATGTCTCATGGGTACAGCTCATTTTACATTTTCTGCAGTGTGATAATATGTTTTCAAAAAAAATAGGTGTAATTCCTTCAAGACGATGCAAACTTTATCTGAACTTTATCTCTAATCTCCTGAGAAACCCTGTCCATCTTTAGTTCAATGGCCTGGATCCTCAGTGCTGGGGCTGTAATTCTTCAAGACATCAGAAATCCCTGAGAAATTCTTTGTGACATCAGAAATTATTTGAGACATCTATGCATTTACATAGAAGTTTAATGAAAAAAAATGGCAAACCATTGTGGTTTTGTGATGTGAAAACATCATCTTTTGTTTATTTGACTCAGAAAAATCCAGAGATTCATTATGGATGTTCTAGAAGAAAAAAAATACACATTTAACATACTCGAGACTGTAAGATGATCATTTGTTGGGTTTTATGATCTTGGGAAAGCAGACTAGGCTGCATAGGAAACATAAGAACAGTTAAGAGATAAAGTATTTTATTACATTATTGTACTGTTACCAAGTTTTTGTTCTCATCAAATTTGATTTTCCTTTTAATAAGAATAGCAGTTGAAAATATGGATTGCCCTCCAGGAGGAATATTCTATGAATAGACAAAGCCATGGAGCCTAGTTTCTGTTCTGAGGATGAAAGGAATGCACTGGGTATTTCCCAAGGTGCATAGCTCTGTTTGGGCATCAAGGATTGAATAAAAGGAAGATGTTGGGGGCTATGTTGTATACTCCAGGGCTCTGTTTATATCCGTATGTGTTTTCCTAAGGTTTAATAGTCACAGCACAGAAAAAAATTATTTGTGCATCCATCAGTTTAGCATTAATAGCAATAGGTTATCTTTTATATATCTTAGCTAAGTCACTCAGGTATTATGAAGATGGAAGAACATTATATATTATGTTAATAGTTCCAAACCTCTACTTTCAGAAACATGTAGTATAGTTAGGATGTCCAGTTGCCTGCCGTCAACTTCAGCTTTGATCTTGAGCATAACACTTAAAAATATGCCTCAGTATTTATTTTCCTAACTTTAACTGCAATGTCAACTGGCCTGAACTTGGTTGAATCCAAGTAAATTCTTAACCCTTGTTTTATATATGTTTTTATATAGCTTATAAAAAATAACGGATTTAAAAATTCACAGTAAGGATATATTTTCTAACTCCAGAATAATTTACTTCTGGAGTAAAGTAGACATATGTGTGTGTGCATGTGTGTGCATATATATATATACTTTTGTCTGTTGTGTCAAACTACACAAAGGGACTACATAAAATTTTCCTCATTGCCATAAACAAAAATGAAATCTAAAATATGTTTCACTAACCCCATCCTGATTTCATGTAATTTTATCTTGAAATATGTCTATTTGAGTTTTAGTGTATAGCTGCATAGCTGGGTTGTGTGTCACTGTGTAGGAATCTTATTTCTACTTGTTAAATTTACTGCTTAAAATTAATGTCATACTGTAATACTAAACTCTAAAGCAATAAGCTGAAAAAGTTTACCAGTGTACATTCAAACATTATTTCCAAGTTTAGTCCTTTGCTGGACAGATTTCCTCTGCCTGCCCAATTTGAACACATTTAGTCATTTGTCATCAGACTCCAAATTTAACTGAGTTAACATAGTTTATTTAATCTTCCCCAAAGGAAATATATTGAACTCTACTAAAATAGAAGGGTTTTTTGGGTGAAGTTGCACAGTAAATCACACACACGTAGCTAACACTTTAATATCCTGCATATATATATATATATGGAAAACAACTGCCAAAGTAGCTGAAAGTATAATGAAACATAATCTTCCTCCCACACATGAGTACATGCATTTCTGTTTTCTTGTTATATCTTTTCTGAGAAAGGTAAAAATGTCCCCTTTATTTTAAAATATCGTTTTTAGTATTTATTAAAATACAACGTAAATGTATTTTTGTTCTTTCAATGTATATTAGGAATAAATGTTTCTCATCTCAAGAAGGGGCACATATTCAAAGCAAGTTCTTAGTAGAAATGCAAGACCAGTCTTGAAAACTCATGATTTAACCTAAGGAGGAAAAGAATGCAGTGAACATTAACCTAAAGGGAAGAAGGGGTAGAGTAACCAAATATATTTATTCTACTGAATAACTTGAGTACTTAATGACAAAATTGAGACTAAGTTTTACAATAGATGTTTGTTTTAACACTCTCCAATGTTTTTATTTAAGAAGCTCGGTTCTGAGTAAAGGAGCAGCCTGGTTTCAGGCAAGGAGGAACTATGGACACATATTCCAGTGATAAGAATTATGCTCATAGAAAATGGGCTATGTAAATAGAAGATGAGCACTTTAGAATAAACTGTCGTAAGACAAAGACTTTTACTCCAGAACCAGATTGAGAGAGAAAAACGTCTGTAACTCAACCATGAATTTTGACTCTTCAGCATAAAGTATATTTTTGGTTAGAATTGAAGAAGTTTAGTTCTAAAGTGCAATAAATTTTTCATTTTTCAAGATACCCTATATTAAAACATTAGTTCTCTTGTGAGTTGATTCAAACAATTTTTCTATTTATTCCTCCTCACTGATTATCAACTCTTAGTCACTTTTTCTAAACTTTAGACATCAAATTTTCATAAACATTTGGGCAAAATTGTCAGCTGAGTAAAAACTAGTTGAGATCGCTATTAATATTTCAAGTAAAAGCTTCCCATATTTGAATTTTATGATATGACCTCTTTTCCACAGTCATGTATTATGTAAGTTGTATAATGCCAAGTTTTCATCATACCTATTTGGACGGATTTTCTTCATTCAGACAATATTAATAAGGCACCCAATCATTGCAGGCTACTTCTTTCTTAGGCACAGTAGAGGATAAAGACATGATTCTGTCCTCATAAAGCTTACATGAGAATAAGAAAAATAGACAACATATGACATAAAAGAAATTCACATCAGGCCCCACAAAGCTTCTTTCAGTGGAGGATGTACTACATTGCTTTTGCAATGGAAGAAGTATTGGCTTTAAGGCCAAATGACCACCACAGCTTGAATCCAGACTCAGACACTTACTAGACTGTGTAGCTTCGGAAACGTTATTTGAGATTTTCAAGCTCTAATTTCTTCAATTGCAAAACTAGAATACTAATATCTAAATTACAAAGTTATGGTTAGGATTGGAGAGAAACTATATAATGTCTCTGACACATGGTGGTTGTTGGAAGACAATTCTTCATGATTATCTCTTGTTTTTGCATGGGTCAAGCTGCCTGAGAAAAGGCATTTATAGCCTATGTTTGTATAAGAAAATATTCTAGGATAGTAAAGCTAAAGATGCCTCCCTCCCTGGAGACATCTCAGGATAGTAAAGGTAAATACTTTCCCTTTTCCTCCCTGGAGGAGATTCGTTTACATTACATCGTAATAAAGTAGGACATCTGTGTATACATCTTGGAGTAACAATAAGATCTCTCTCTTTTATGGGAGAAGAGGCTGAGCATGTCACCAGCGGTCCTATGTAAGAGCAGAGTTTCTGAATTTTGAAATTGCATGACTTTGATGCACAGGTAATGGATGGCACTTGCCACATACCCTTGTGGGAAATGGGGCATTGAGGAACCCACCCAAAATTGTTGCTTTTGCTGCTGCTTTAGTCATAATATACTGCCTTTGTCTCTGACCCAGAGATAGATGTAGTTGGTAGATGTTAGATAGATGATAGGTAGATGCATAGATAGATACATAGATAGATACATTGATACACAGATACATAGACAGACCAGAGCAAGTTAAATCGTTAGCTTGCAAGTACAGTAAAATTTCAAATCACTTAGTTTTTGACTTAACAGTAGTTATTCAAGACCTGTGTATCGGGGAACCTGCCCCGATATTCACATAGGTTCTTTTCTATTTTCCTTAAGCGTCGGCCGGCTTGAGAAATAAAGGGACAGAGTACAAAAGAGAGAAATTTTAAAGCTGGGCATCCGAGGGAGTCATCACATGTCGGTAGGTTCCGTGATGCCCCACAAGCCACAAAACCAGCAAGTTTTTATTAGGGATTTTCAAAAGGGGAGGGAGTATACAAATAGGGTGTGGGCCACAGACATCAAGTACTTCACAAGGTAATAGAATATCACAAGGCAAATGGAGGCAGGGTGAGATCACAGGACCACAGGACCAGGGCGAAATTAAAATTGCTAATGAAGTTTTGGGCACCATTGTCACTGATAACATCTTAACAGGAGACAGGGTTTTGAGAGCAACCGGTCTGACCAAAATTATTAGGCAGGAATTTCCTCTTCCTAACAAGCCTGGGAGCACTGGGGTCTATTTCACCCCTACAGCCTTGACCATAAGAGACAGACACACCTAGGGAGGCTGTTTATAGGCCTATACCTCCAGGCACGTATTCTCTTTCCCAGGGATGTTCCTTGCTGAGAAAAAGAATTCAGTGATATTTCTTCCATTTGCTTTTGAAAGGAGAGAAATATGGCTCTGTTCCGCCCAGCTCACCAGGGGTCAGAGTTTAAGGTTATCTCTCTTATTCCATGAACAATTGCTGTTATCCTGTTCTTTTTTCAAGGTGCCCTGATTTCATATTGCTCAAACACACATGTTGTACAATTTGTGCAGTTAATGCAATTATTACAGGGTCCTGAGGCGACATACAACCTCCTCAGCTGACAGGATTAAGAGATTAAAGTAAAGACAGGCATAGGAAATCACAAGGGTATTGATTGGGAAAGTGATAAGTGTCCATGAAATCTTTACAATTTATGTTTACAGACTGCAGTAAAGACAGGCATAAGAAATTATAAAAGTATTAATTTGGGGAACTAATAAATGTCCATGAAATCATCACAATTCACGTTCTTCTGCCATGGCTTCAGCCGGTCCCTCCTTTTGGGGTCCCTGACTTCCTGCAACACCTGTTCTTTATTTTTATTAGTAGAATTGGAAGTTTAAGAGCTGCCATTGTTATAAAAGAAGATATCAAAGATGAGAGCATTTGAGCTGAATCTTGAAGAAGGGGTAGAGTAAGACCATTTAAGATGGCGCAGAAAAGCATTTCAAGTATCAGTAATAGTCTAGACAAGACTGTGTGCAAGAGGTCAATCACTGCTGGGCTCATACTAGAAACTGTAAGTTGTAAATTTTGCTTAAGCACAGGTTACACAAGGAAGAGTAGACAGAAGCAGTACTAGAAGAAGAATTGATTCAAAAGCATGCATTACCTTGTCAGGTAAGCTGCTTGAAAAATATCAGATAGCAATAGGAAAAAAGTTGCATTTTTAGCAAACAGCAGATATTCAAAGTTACACTGTGAAATGATGACTCTATTTGTAGCATGTATCAGGGAGAACCGAACAGGGTAAAACTGGAAAAGAAACATTCCCAATCTTCCAGCTGAGAAGTAATGTGACCTCAAACCAGAGCATGGCAGTGGCAACAGGCATGGGTGGAGGCTAAAGCAGAGAGTCAGGCTTGGAGTCTTGTTCTCAGCTCATGATGTTTCTGAGCTTTGTTTCAGAGTCTGGTCTATTCATAGTCTTTTCAGAATACACACAGTGAACTCGGGGGCTCTGTTAAATGCCATTTTCTTGCTGTTTCTGAATGAACTAAGTTCACCACTCTTAGGCTAGCAGAGGTAAACCAAGCTCTCTAGAACATATCAGTTAGGAGTAAGTTCATGAGCATGTGACCAAACCATAAGTTAACAATGGACAAGTTGTAGTAACTACCATTTGCCAGGTTGATAGAAGTTGCTGGTTGTTTCTCTTTCTCTCCTTAAAAGAAGCCCAAAGACAACATATTCTGTACAGACTTGAACTGCTTCCACCTCCTAAAGTCACTGTAGTTTGGATCTCTCCTAATGGCTGACAGTGGCTGTTTAAAGTCCAGCCTTCACATTCTTATGCCAAACAGCAATATGGAAGATAAGGCAAAAGAGGCACACTTTAGGGATGGTTCATAAAGGAACTTCCCACTTATATCTCTTAAACAAAACACAGTCACAGGCCTACACAGGGCTGCAAAGGGAAAAAGAGGTATATAGTGTTTTCACTGGAAGCAATGTCTCCAATAGAACAAGGTTCTGTTCCTACACAGAGGGGTGCTATGGACCCCTAATTTTCCATGGTCTTCATATTAAAGGTCTGGATTTGCCCCAATAAGGAGTGGACCTGCTCAAGCCAGATTCCCATAATGTGACACTCAAGTGTCATGTGGCATCTTGACTCAGAGAATTCCTCTTCACTGATTTGTACTGTCTATCAAGTTCTAAGCCACCATTTTAGCAAGCAGAATGTTTCACAATCAAATAAAATATAAAGAGAAAGCCTCAAAGTTGTTATTGTCTTCATTTAATGTTTTAACAAGATTTGTTTTTAAGAATCTACACTTATTTATTTATTTATTTAGAGATGGAGTCTCACTCTATCGCCAGGCTGGAGTGCAGTGGCATGATCTCAGCTGACTGACACCTCCGCCTACTGGGTTCAAGCGATTCTCCTGCCTCAGCCTCCTGAGTAGCTGGGACTACAGGCGTGCGTCACCACGCCCAGTTAATTTTTGTATTTTTAGTAGAGACGGGGTTTCACCATGTTGGCCAGGATGGTCTCAATCTCTTGACCTCATGATCCACCCACCTCAGCCTCCCAAAGTGTTGGGATTACAGGCATGAGCCACTGTGCCTGGCCAAGAATCTACTTTTGAAATGAGACATCTCCAAAGATAAGATGGATGATGATAAATGTCTCAGAGAGCTATCAAGGATATTCTACAGATATGAAAAATGAAAAAGCATCAAGAGATGAGAAAAGTTTTTAGAAACATGTGGACATTGAGCTAGGTCTTGAAAAGTGGGAAAGTTTGGATTATGTAGAGATGGATTATGTAGAGATGCAGGAACAGATGCAGAGTTGATGGGTAGAACAATATTGCAACTGACATCCTGCCTCACCACTGCTCTCTGGGCAGGGGAAAGTGTGTTTTGCCCCCCAGGAGAAAGTGCGTATTGCCTCCTAGGCTGAGAGAGTCAAGGCTACCTCCAGGCTAATTTTGCTCAGCCTTAAGCAGACTGTCCCTTCCAGTTTCCAAACAATCAGTTTCACACTACTAATATGACTGAAAGAATTGAAGGTCAACAAGTGCTTTGGCTGTTAGGATAGCTATATGGCCATGGACATTGTGACACATTCTCAATAAAATGTTTATTGGGCACACAATGAAATCTAATTATGTTTAAAGCAAAACATACCTGGGTACGCAAGACCACCACGAGCCCTCTGTCTAAATTTAGACCTTGGCCAAACTCTATAAAATCTATTAACCGTTCTTTGGTAAGCATAAAGTATGAGTAAAGGTGCTGTTATCACACAAACACCTATAAAATACAGCTTCAAAAGTATAAAAATAGTAGATAGGAACTGAGTCTACCTTGACATAGATTGTACTTTTAATATTCACATAGTCTGAACAGGAAGCCTGAATGTGTTCGAAGGCTTAATTAAGCCAAACCGCATCATTGGAAATCTTTTGTTTGGTTTGATTTTATTTTATCTGCCTTTGCATTCCCAAGAATAAAAAAATCACAAAGTCAAATGTGAAAAGAATTTGAAAACATGTATGGCAGTTGTTGCAGGCTTTCTTTTCTTTCTGTCTCTCACAATTTTTTTTAGTTCCAGCTAAACCTAGAGACACGAATAAAATTGCCACAACCCTAATCCACTCATGTTTATCTGATATCCAAAAGGCCTTAGAGAGCATAGATTGGCTTTATTCTCATATTAGGGGTTCAAGAATGCTATCAATAAATATCAGTAACTTCAGGTTACTCTTTCCTTCCTTCCTTCCTTCCTTCCTTCCTTCCCTCTTTCCTTCTTTCTACCCTTCCCTTTCTTCCCCCTTCCCCCTTCTCCCTTCTCTCTTCCTCCTCCCCTCCCTTCCCCTGTCCTCCTTTCCCTTCCCTTTCATCTTTTTCTGGATTTTTAATGTGTTCATACAGTGCTTCTTTATTCCAAATCTTAATCCTTTTTATGCAAATTTTTTTAGTCTGAAAATCATCTTTTAACTTGGTTTAAAGATGGTTTATTAGAGTTTCTTATTTAACACTTTATTTTCAATATTATTTTCCTTTATAGCTTTTGCATTTTCTATCTTGATAAGCCCAGATTGGCAAGCATATTTGCCTGTATTTTCTTCTGCAATTTTTAGAGTTTTGTTCTTTTACACTGGTAATTCTATAAACGTCAGCTTAAGGATTCTAAAGAACAGCAGATTGCCACAATGCTGTAGAATATTTCATGTTTTTCTAATGAATTTAATATTCTTAATTAGCAAACTCAATAGATTCTCTATTCAGTATTAACCATCTTTTTGCCAAATGATCTTTATGCCAAGTGACAGAGTTCTCATGTCCATTCTGTTTTGTTATTACATAGGTCAAACCTCTCCCAACCCCCACCACTTCCATTGCCTTTATCACTTGCTATTTTTCAAAATCAACTTGGTTGTTCTTGCCTGTTTTCTTATCCCAATAAATTTTAGTCTCAACCTATAAGATAACCCAAATAAACTTTCAGGGATATTAGCTAGGATTACTTTTACTAAAAGATTAATTTGAGAAGAATTAACCTAACAGTTCTACTACACATAATCCAGTTTTTCTGGTGGGCATATAAATCCTGTACTCCAAACCCCAGTGCTAATACACAGTCCCTAGCCTTCTAGAGCTTAATGATGACATGTGCTTAAACTTGCACAGAGAACAAATCATTCATATTTTGATAGTCTTTCCTGGTTGTATTGTGTTATTTTATTAGAGTTCTTTCATATATATTGCTGCATCTTGATCCTGCAAGAGGAAGGGTATATGACAATTCCCATGTTACCAATGTGGAAATTGCTGTCAACAACATTTGATGGAATTACCAGACCCAAACCTAAGTTTTGTGCTTTGTAGGCATGTATTTTTCCCATTCCACCAACCTGTTAGATCGCCCCCTTAAGATACTATCAGAATAATTCACTCTCCTTTCATTGAAAAGCTGGACTAGTCACTGTTGAGAGATAATATGTACAATCCACAAAACACTATCTTTAAAAGGCACATGCTATTTGAACTGAAAGGACTTTTAGAAATTATTGAGTAGCACTTCTTTGATTTACAGTTGAAGAAACTGACGCTAAGAAAAGTGAAGCCATTTTTGAGATTGCCTAGCTAGTTGGTGATTGCACAGTATCAATTTTAAAGCACATGTTTTGGCTTTGATCAGCTTGCAACTCTCCTTTCTGAAAGCTGCCATGCTAAAAAATAAAATAAAATAAGTCTGCTGATACCCATGCTTAGAAATTCAGAATCAGAGTGACCATTTCTCTGAGACTTCAAAACACCAAGTGATATTGCTGTACTAGTGTTCTCAAGGTGTGCCCTCTCAACTTGAGAAGTTTTTTCCTGACATCAGTGAACAATAAAACACCTTTACTCTTCATTGTCACCAAGGCTGATATTGTTTTGCTAGATTCAGTCTGTAATCATCTGAAGTAGCTGTTTAGTTCTCATGTGATTAATTTTAATTTGAAGGGACATCAACTGTAGCATGTTTTCTCCTTACTAGGAAAAAGCAAAAGCTAAGAACCTAGAAACCAGACATTATTTTTACTTTTTGTCTTTGCTTTGATCATAAAATATGATTACTGAGGTGAGATGATTGGCTAAACATTTTTAGCCACAGATTATGTGAACCTTTTTTTCTGGCTCTTTAAGCATTTAGGTAAGTATTTCATTATGAGTTCATGAAGTGATGCTTAAGTCATCATTCAACCTAAACTTTTACAAATTTTCAAGAAGGTCACCACTAAAAATACCAAATTTTGTGTAGTAAGTGCTTCTTAAATTACCTAATTTTGTAGCTCTTTTAAATATTTCTGTAGACCACGAAACCAAAAACTATACCATCACAAATCCTCTGAGGCATTTATTTTGCCCATAACTTTCTTAAAATGTTTAAACTGAAGCTATTTTTACACAGCAAAATTAATATCATTCAACTAGTGGATAGTTGCTCCAGCAACTGTTGGACAGAGTTGTTCTTTAATCTTGAGGATATCAGATTGGAGATTTAGATGTATTTAACAAGAGGTTTCAATATGAAGTCAACACAATTTTTCAACAATCCAATGAACCATCTTCCCAGTATTTCCTTTTCCTTAATAGTCTTTCATTCAGACCCACTCAGCAACCTCAATACTGAATAAATCTACTCTGAGTGGTTGCAAGTGGCTAAAAATATCACAAAATTATTCATATTGATTTACTGTAAATTCATGATCTTCAACCCCTGCTGTTCTCCTAATGGTGTCTGTTACTACCTCCATGTTTCCATACTCACGTCTCTTACTGTGTTCTTTGCTCTTTTCAGCACTCTCCACCTGTAACTTTTTCACCACCTTCCCACTCACAGTAAGCAATCTGGTCAGTTTCTTACCTAGAAAAAAATCAGGTGATAATTTCCCTTGCTTTCCACCACTAATCCGTTATTCTTTGTTATATTCCACAGTGGAAAAAGATTTCCTGTCCCCATACAAGATCAAATCCTTCACCTATGCTCTGGGTCAAATCAACTTGAAATGGGAGCACATAAGTCTGCATCCTACCTTCTTCTTTGCATGTTATTCTCCATCAACAGCTCCTTGCGGGTAGTGACCTTGTCTGTCTTGCTCACTGTCGTGCTTCCATTAGCCTAAAAGAGTAAGCAATAATAGGTGCTTAATAATATTAAGGATGGGAAGTACTCCATAACTATTCATCAAGGTTGTGTAACTGAATTCAATGAGTAGCTATGCTGTGCTAATAATCAACAGATATTCTAAGTATCTTTAAACTTGGATGAAGTGCTAATAATATACAGCCTCAACTTGTATGAATTATTTCATCCACACAAATTTGCCCTTTCTACTTTTTGTATTTTGGGGGTCTGGGGGACCTGATTTTCTTAGCTTTGGTTCTCCCTGGTTGTCTTATCTTCAGATCCAGGCTAGATTTACATTTATTTTCTACTATAGACTTGTCATGTGATAAATTCTATCAGTTTCCAGGATATGGGTATATTTTAGCATCTACTTGTCAAGCTCATAAACACCCAAGCAGGCACTGATTCAGAGTCTCCATCTCACTACACTGGGTATCTCAAAAAAAAAAAAAGTCCTTGAAAAAATACAGACGAAACATGTAATACAAGAAATAACAAGAATGGAAACATACCAAGAAAGAAAACCTTGGGAAAACTGAAGGCTATTCTGCTGTTGCAGCCAAGGAGAGAAGGTAGTTGGTGGCTACTTGAGAAGATAAATTTTTAAAAGATGGCTTAAATTTTGCTCTTCCCTTTCCTTACACGATTGCCTTAGGACTTCACTTAGGACTTCATTGAAAGCCCACATCAAGGTATCCTGAAGAATGATAACATATAGTCAGTGCAGGATGCTACTAGGGTAAGGAGCTATAAAATAGCAGGAGAGGCCGGGCGCGGTGGCTCATGTCTGTAATCCCAGCACTTCAGGAGGCCGAGGCAGGAATTCAAGACCAGCCTGGCCAATATGGTGAAACCCCATCTCTACTAAAAATACAAAAATTAGCCGGGCGTGGTAGCAGGCACCTGTAATCCCAGCTACTCGGAGGCTGAGGCAGGAAAATTACTTGAACCCAGGAGGCAGAGGATGCAGTGAGCTGAGATCGTGCCATTGCACTCCAGCCTGGGGGACAAGAGTGAGACTTCGTCCAAAAAAAAAAAAAAGCAGGTAGAGATTGACCTGACACCCACTACTCTGTCCCTTCCTCCCAAGCCCCTAGCATTCAGGGAATACAATACTTTCTTAAGGCTTCCTACATATATACTACAAATTGGTCTAGCGTCCAGAAAATTATTCTACAGTAGCCCAGTGCTTCATCCTTCAGGGTGCACAAGGTGGGGTATGGGACATATGGTAAAACTGATGGTGTATCCTTGGAAATTCTGTACAATGTCCATGGAAGATGGCTGACTTTCACCCAGGGACGTAGAACAAATGTGGAAAATACCACCCAGGAGACATGACAAAGAATGTGAGCAACCCAACCAAGGACAGGAATCATGTACTTAAATCTTACAGAAGCTCACACTACCAAAAAAGGGACGTTTTTTTCTTAAAGGATGTGTTTCTTTTGCAAACACAATAGACTAAAATAATCATTTCTGAATTCTGACTCAAGACCCCAGATTTTAAATTAAGAACACTGACAGAAAGACATGGGATATAAATGTAACTCAGAAAATGGGGTTAAAAATGGGAAATGTCTCAGATTAGATTCCAGAAATCCAAATAGTTTTGCTTATGATCCTGTGAATTTATTTCTTGGGAGATTTAGTAGAAGTAGCTACAGAAAGCTAAAAGTATTGCTTTTTAAAGAGTCATTTTTATTACAATAAAAATACAATACATATAAGAAAAAGTGTTTAAGATATAAATGTAAAGGCAACCACCATCTAGGTCAAGAAACAGACTATTACCCAGAAGCTCCTTCCTTCTGAATCCAATCCCTAACTTCCTCTTTAAAGATAACCATTATCAGCAGGGTCTGATGGTATGCACCTGTAATCCCAGTTACTCAGGAGGCTGTGGCAGGAGAATCACTTGAACCCAGGAGGTGGAGGTTGCAGTGAGTCAAGATCACACCACTGCACTCCAGCCTGGGTGACAGAGTGAGACTATCTATCAAAAAAAACAAAAACAAAAACAAAAAAACACACAACAAGATACCCATTATCTTGACTTTTTTTAACGAATTATTTTATGGCTTTACAACTTAAATATTCCTACTTATCCAATGCAGATAAGGGCTTTTTGTAATCATACAGTTTTTTTTCTTTATGTCTTGCTTTTTGGGCTAAACCTTACATTGATAAAAATCCATTGTGCTGTTGTTTATAATTGCAGTTCAGTCATTTTCATTAATTAATTACTTACTCATTTTCCTACTGATGATATTAGAATTGTTTCCACTTAATAAGTGTTTTGAAAACTGCTCCTACAAACTTTGTCATTCCTATCATCTGGTGTAAATATGCCTGCATTTTTCTAGGACATACACTTAGAATTAGAATTGTCGGAATATGTAAATATGCCTAACTTCATTAGATATTAGAAAAATGTTCTCCAAAATGCTTTGTATTTTCCTGATGGTTATAGGCCATTTGTATAGCTCTGTTTGTGATGTGCCTATTCAAAACATCTGCCCATTTTTCTACAGAATTATCCTTATTTTTTAATTGACTTGAAGGTTAAATTACTTGACCAACATCACATATATAATAAGTTGCAGAAATCTGAAAGCCTGATCTGTTTGATTCAAACATTCTTAATTGCTATTGCCTCCCCAAATGGCTACAGAATAGCTTATTTTAAGAAGCCAAATAATTTCATTTATTAATGCAGATACTAAATAATTATGTTTTAAAATGTTGTAGGTTTTCAAGTAAAACATATTAGGATATTATATATATATATACAGTTTCATATGTATATATGAAACTAACTTTTATTTTCACTCATGTATTGTAAAGACAATTCCACTTATTATAGAGAGTAAGTGGGTGGTATTGAATGCCCATTATGTACCAAGTGTGCCATTTGCATATGTGTGTATTTCATACGACAGTGCTAAGTATGTATGGGTTTATACTTATAAAGAATGTTAGAGATATAATCACGTGAATACTCTTGAACTCACTGGAGAATAGTTTTAATTAAACAAAATCATAAGAGATAACTCAGGCAGATTCATTGGTATGAGTGAATTTTGTATTTATACAACTATACATATGAACATGTTGTTGACAAAAAGCTATTGCTTTTTAACAACTGGGTGAACTGAAAGGCAGTAATATGTGAGCAGACAAATGATCTGGAGCCATAATTTTAAAATTGTGAGATTTTATTTAAATGAGCTCAAATATTTGTGCTCTTAGTCTTTCTCTCCTATCATAATTTTTTTTCTCTCTTTATTTTTCTTTCTCCATTCTTATCCACTCTCTTCTCTTCTGTTTATAGCACATGGAGCTTACAAGGAGGGGACTATTTCAAAGCACTAGGGGTAAGGGTTTGCAGAAGAGTGAGTAAGGAAGATGAGGATAGAGAAAGAAGGAGAGATTTTTCTCTTTGGCTACTAGCTTGCAGTTCAATTGCCTTCTTCCAACTGCACATTCTGAGAAAATGATTGCTACCTCTCAGAACACCAGACCTGGGGAATGGGGCCTTATCCCAGGGCCAATAAAGAAGCCACTGCTGTCAAGCTGCAGGTGCAAGCCCTCAATTAGAACGTGCTGTTCATCTCTGTCAACACTAATGAAATTCAGAAGCCTAAAGTGACAGGTACAGCAACTGGTTTGGGAGTTTAAAAATTAATACCATCAAGTTTCATTTTCCCGTTCCTTCTAGCCTGGCTCCTTCCAGTAGGAAGGTGAGCAGAAGGAGCCTCGCTCCGCCAGCATGTGCACGTCCAGGAGGCGAGGCCGAAATCCAAGTGGCGCTGCAGAATTGTTTTGAAAGGCAGGGAAAGAAGGGAGGGCGGGCAGGGGATAAAACTCAGGTGCCCTTTTGAACTCTGACAAGACAAATGAACCTTCAGTCATGATATTCCAGACCAGAACTGACAACTTTCAAAGGCAGAAGTTGGATTGCAAGAGCAGCTTGTCTGTCAGAACACGCCAAGAGGAATACTAAATGAAGGTTGAAATGGAGCAACGGTTCATTTGGAGCATGCTTTTAGATAAAGCAAATACAGTACTAAGGAGGTCAATTTCTGAAAATCATCATAAAGTATCTACTGGATTTTATAAAGTGGAGCTGCATATTTTTTCACAAATGAAATAAACCATTACATATAAATTGTATTCCAAATAAAAGGGACTGAAGACTCTTCAAGAATGCAATAGTACTTGGGCTATTTCTGTAGATATAGATATAATTAATAGAAGGCATTTACAAAATGATTCCTTTTCCTTTTAAAATTTGGAAACATGCCTTTTCAGCTGCCTGTATATGTATGTTCTCTGAGTTAATCTGAAAGTTTCCTACAAATGATGTGAAAATTTGCCATGAATCAGAACCGAAACATTTGACGGCAAATCCCCCGCTGAAATCCGAGAGTCCACATTGAACAGATTTCTGTAGTACAAGTGGAACACTGCCAAGAATTTTTTTTTAAGAGCCATGATATCTCAGAGGAAATATATAAAGAGTTTCTTGATTCTTTTAACCAGTGCAGCCAAACCCTTTCCCTGAGGTTAGGGCCAGCACACTAGCTATGGTTCTTTCCTTCTTCCTACAAGTTCCTGACTTCATCCATCTTCTCTCTTGGCTCACTGATTTGTAGTCTCTCCACTCTGGTTTGAACTCAGTCGAATCTAGAAGTTGCTGCTTTTTCTCAGTTAGCAGTGGATCAGGTCAAGCGCAGGTCAGTTGGTACCTTCTTTTTTGAAAGCTGTTTCTGTAGGGTTTTTTTAGTCAGATACAACTCTCTGCCTTCAGCCCTTCCCAGCATGGCACCTATTATAAATTCATAAACCTCAGCCCGTCCTCACACTTCATTGCACATCATCTAAGATGGTATATGCAAACCTTGTGACGCCATCTCGGAGCAAACACATTTCCCATCCAAATCACAAAATTCAGCTCATTAATAAAAATGCTCCTGGGCTTTTATAGTGGGGGATTATTACATGACATATGATTAAAATATAACAGTGTTTCTTTTTAATTTCTGTTAGAAAAAATGCATTTTTATGAGAGGTAGTATAGATCAGGTAACCATATACTTTATCGTCAAAACCAGGACAGCTCTGAGAGTGAAAGGAAATACTATTTATAATTACTCCAAAATGGCAGGCATATATTGAGACTTCCTGAACTACCCAGGATGTATGTCATCTAAAGCTAGGTCAGTTGGGCCACAAAATGGCTCTTGTCAGTAAAAAAATATCAGGTATCTGGCTGTTGGAAAAATCAGTCAGCTGACTTCAATGGTAGTAATTTGCCCCTTTTGACTTAAAAATGTAAGAAAAATGGTATTTGCTTTCCAACAGCCAAGAACTGAACATGACACTTTGGGAAAATGCAGAACAGATGAGAATGAAAAATTAAGTCTTAAAAGAGAAAATATACAGAGGAGGAGATATAATTGTATGAGTAATTTCTGGTCAGCAAAGTCAGTTCATATATTCTGATTAAGCCCCTACTATGGGATAAAACACTCCTTCAGGTATTGAAGGGTATTCGAAATACCAGGTATTACTTGTGGCATGACAGCACGCAGACAGAGAGACAATACACAACAGTATGCACTAGAGCAGCTCTGCAAAGGAAGAGAATTATTTGGGCTGAGAAGATCAGAAAAGATTTTAGGAAGGAAGGGTAAAATTGATTATGCTGGTCCTGAATTGAAGTATTTAGATAGGCAGAGAGGATGTGGGAGGGACTCCAGAGAAAGAAAATAGCAGGAACAAAGGATTGGGCAGTGAGATATCAGTCATGTCCAGTTCACAGTCAGTGGAACACCCAAGCCACGGCAAAAGTATACTATGAACTGGAGAAGATAAAACAACAGTGATCAGTAGATGGGACTAAATGTCAAGATAAGGAGAGGTGCGTGGCACTTTGAAATGCTACTGCAAATGATGTGATATATGTTAGGAAACCAGTTTGACATGAAGATTCCTGTTGAATTACTGCCTGGAGGGAAAAAAATGAAGTCAGGGACACCCAGTTACATGGTTATTTCAGTACTCCATATATGAGGAGAGAAAGACCTGAATTAAATGATGATAATTTAAAAAATTGAGTCAATATTTTTTAATGATATAGAAGAGAAAAATCCAGTTTATTCTCGGTAACTGATTAAATCAATTGATCCAGAGTGGCAGATTCAGACTGAGGCACAGCTTCTAAATCTCTTGAAGTTAAAAATGCCATCATGCTTAGAGAGGAAGGTGAGGCGTTTGTTTCCAGACATGTTTACTTTTAAGTGGCAGGAAACATCTAGGTGAGGAAGTACAGAGTAGATAGGTGTTCTGCAGGTAGATTAAAGTTAGAGTTAATTTGGGTCCTTGCAAGTCATTACCTTGAAGTTGATTATAAAAATTTGAAAGGCCGGGCATGGTAGCTCACACCTGTAATCCCAGCACTTTGGGAGGCCGAGGCGGGTGGATCACCTGAGGTCAGGAGTTCGAGACCGGCCTGGCCAACATGGTGAAACCCCGTCTCTACTAAAATACAAAAATTAGCCAGGCATGGTGGTGGGTGCTTGTAATCCTAGCTACTCGGGAGGCTGAGGCAGGAGAATCACTTGAACCCAGGAGGTGGAGGCTGCAGTGAGCCGAGATCGTGCCATTCCACTCCAACCTGGGAGACAGAGCGAGAGTTTGTCTCAAAAAAAAAAAAAAAAAACTTTTTGAGAAATATGACTTTTCTTTCTTAATATCCACTTAACTATAGAGAGTTCATCTATATCACTGTATATAGATGGGAAGGCAGGGTGACACCACTGATTTCACTGTATATAGATGGGAAGGCAGGGTGGAATGAGGAAATAAATCTTTGAAGGAGGCAAAGAAAGAATGGTCTGAGTGGTTAGGTAGAGAACTAGGATTGTGTGGTTTTGTAAAACCTAGATGAGATCTTAAACAAGAAGAGAGATATTTATATTATTTAAAGAGCAAAGACAAAGGGAAGACTTTTAAAAGGCCACTGCATTGGTTGTTTGGATTCTTATCTTTGAGCAAGAATTAAGTTTCATGAGAGTGGCAGAATTTTAAAGTGACCAGATGTCAAGGAAATTGAAGCAGCAGATGGATTAGGCTCATTGAAGACATTTTGTAGTACAAAAAAAGCAAAACAGTATAGATGACAGCTTCCAGGGCACAAATGTATATCATAAGTTCGATTTCTGGGAGATACACTGGAGATGTGAGAATAAATGTTTTTGGAGTCATTCATAAACAGAAGGAAGGTGACATGATTGAAACAAGAAGTCAATTGGAATTTCCCAAAATGGAAAAAAGACATCATCCCCTCTGTATCTAGAAAGCATGGTGATTGATACGTACAGATAAGGCAATATTTAAGTGAGGAAGAAAGTATATATGGGACTTATCACATTACCTCCCAAGAAGAGTATGCCTAATTGTATCTCTGCATGTCTCTTTATAAGGGTTACAAATTTCTGTTATTTCACATTGTGTTTCATTACATCTTTCTTCCAAACCTTTCTTCCCATCGATTTTGTTTACTTTCTTATTTCATTTGTTGATTTGTTTTCCACTTTCTTTTGGTGTTCCTGCTTAAATAGCAATGCATGATTTTTAAAATGGATATATTTTTATTTGTTCCATATCTTATACATTTTGTGCTATCTGTTCATGGTTTATATTTTATATATTTTTTCCTCTCATGGTTTCCAATTAACAATAATTTTTATGATCCCTGTTCTGGCCCATGCACAAGTCAGATAAGTCATAAAGTTATTTCAATAAGAAAAGGATGTGAAATATCAAGATCTTTCATTCTTTTATTTTTGATTTAAAAAGTGACTAGTGTTTAAAGGTATTCATAATTTTATTTTATGATGTACTTAAAACATAGAAAATAACATAGAGATTGGACTTCAGACAAAGCCCTATTTTATTACTAGTGAAATGAGTTACATTTTAGCTAAATTTACATTGGATTCAGGGAAAAGTGCATGTGCCAATTATAAAAGGACCTGAGGCTGAATTTGTGCACTGAGTACAATTTGAAAATGGTGAAACCTTAAATAAATACTTAGATTTTAAATTTTCAATGTATTGTATTTATTTTTATATCTTGTAAAAAAAATCATTATTGTGGTCAAAATAGGACTCATACAACTGCTGGGTTGATTCGTAGGTTGTGTTGACATGACTCCAAATGTGTGAATCAAATATGAAAAAAATCAGTTAATTATCTAGACATTTATAAACACCTAGATGTTTGACACTACGTAGAAAACATATTGGTGTTCAATTTTGATTCAAATATTTTATTCAAATATTGGCTTCCTGAACCTCTTGGGACTGTCTTTTAATCGTTTGTGACTCAAAAACAGAGTCAATTACCAAACAATTTTTATTCTATTTTTCACACAGAAGCATCGTACATATGCCTCCTAACTTTAACTCCCTACGACCTACTACTCTAACATTTGCTGTGGAGTAATTTTGTGCCAGAAACTGCAAAGATGTTTACACAGATTATCTCTGGTCCTCATAACTAGCCGGCAAAGCAGGATCAGTTATCCTCATTCTACACATTAGACAAATGAGGCTCAGAAAGGCTTAGTAAAAGGTTGATGAAATTCCAAGAAAACACAGGTTTGTGTGGTTCAATGCCTACTGCCTTTCAGCTGCTACACAAAGCTACCTTTCTCCCATCGTACCTGTGATAAACCCTCTTTGACTGGAATTGCATTAATTCAACAGCTTCCTAAGTGGATCTCCCTGCCTCAGGTCTCACCACCGGTCAACCCTCTCTAATACTTTTAATAATTGGATATATCCTTTATAACAGCTTTCAGTGATCTCTTAGGCACAAGAAACAAGAGCCTCACAAGACAACTTATTCAGTAAAGCAGAAGGATGAAAAAAATCTTTATTGTGAAATTTACAGAATTACACTGCATGAAACCTACTGCAATTTGTAGAGACATTTTTTGTAATTTAGTATGTGGCAAATATTTGCAAATATTCCATGCAGACTTTAAAATTATATATATATATTATATATATATAATTGTGTATGTGTATATATATAGTGTGTATATATACACTACACACACACACACACAATTTGATTGAGACTTGTGAGTTCCACTTACCTAATGGGTCAAGCTTGTAAGATTAAACCTTCTATTTCAGTTTTCCCAGTCTTCTATGTCCTTCCTCTGGTTTATTTTCTCTTCTTGCTGAATTCTTGATGTTTTGTTGTTGCTGCTGTTGTTCTTTTTAATCATTTCTGCCCATCCTCACCTTTTGACTCCATTCCAAATGTAGGTTTTATAATGGCAGGTTAAGGCCCCTGCCTTGCAGTGAGACTGAGGCTATTACAGGACAGATTACCAAATCAGCTGTTGACCTCTCTTAGTTCTGGGTCATCTAGGCCAGCTATATTATCTACAGCCACAGACCCACAGCTTGGCAGCACTTTATTCCAGCCTTTTATATCAATGTGGGGTGGTCGATACGGTGCCCTTTGGGATCCAGAGCCCTTATTCAGACCTGGCTTCCAGATGTGGGATGGTCCCTTGTCTTTGAGCACTTTCAGCCTCCATAGGAGCTGAACACTCCAGGGCCATTGCCTACCTGTGGACCCAGACTCCAGCAGGCCCCTCCCTTCAAATCCTCATAGGGTTGCATTTCCATTTCACTGTGAAGTCTGTGAAGATACTATTGTTTTTAAAGCCTGACTATATTTATTTAATTTTCTCATTTCGTATTGTATCTCCTTTTGATAACAGTTTGGCACAAAAAGGCTGTGTGAAAATTCATACCACCTTGACCAAAAGTTGGAATATCATATTTATAATATTATGCTATTTGCAATATATACTAACTCCAGTATGTATTGTAATGTTTCTGCATGAGCATGTCAGTAAAGTGGCCTCCTTTCCTCCTGAAAGGAGGCAGTGGACCACTGGCATAACTCAAAATGTATGAATACACGCTAAAAATCAATTATCTAGACACTTATAAACACCAAGATGTTTGGCACTACATAGAAAACATAGCTGTGTTCAATTTTTAGTCAAATAAAATAAAAAGGAAGAGGAGGCTGCATTCCTATGGAAGGAAAAAGATATGCACCTTGAAGCTTAGGATAGAAATGTAACCAGCAAAAATCCAGGTGGCTTTCCCCCATGCACCTCTATGTGGCTTCCAAGAGAGAAAACTCCTTTCTTCCCCCATAGCTGGGCAACGTTATGCTGGAACACATGTCTACAACAGCCCTTTCTCATCCCAGAGGGAGGTAAGGTAAGGACTGATGGTGAGTCTCAGTGATCTTCCAGAATTCTGCAGACTCAATGATTTTCCTCCAGTTCTACATTTTTATGGGCCTGTCATTAAGGAACAAAATCCAGGTGGTAAGCAAGTATCTCCATTCCTCACAGGACTAGATTCAATAGCACAGGGAAAAGAATGTGCTCTTGAAAATGTTAAAAGTAAAAATGCTGTCAGAAATAAGAACAACGTGTTAAGATCACAATCGGCTTCATGAAACCTGGAACTGCTGCCAGGGGCAAGGAGAATGGGTCAAACTGTGTCCAAGCTGGTAAAAATGAATACATCAACTCACCAAACTGAGTTACAGAGGGTTTCCTTACAAAATTTAAATCTGTATTTCAATTTCATAAGACCACTTTTTTAAAAATTAACCTATGTTTTCCAAAATGAAATAAAAGTCAATAATCTTGGAAATGCTAAAATATATTTTCCGAGAGCATACTTTCAATATAAGCACTAAGTGCAGCCACAAGTGTGAAAGAGAATTATATAATTAAACAACACCTATTTTCTCAACATTCGATGAACATCTAATGCATAAAGTCTTAAGCAAGAAAAAAAGTAAGACATTCTGTACAGTTAAGCTTTTCGTGTGGATTGGAAAAATGATCCTGTAAATGGGATTTTGGAAAGAAACGTGGAGGGAAACGTCTGCAAGGAAAAAAGCCAAAGGAAATAAAGTTGCAGTGAAAATTTTATGTGTGTGTATAACTTTATATTTTCTGGCATGATAAAAATACTGATAGGAGAAAAGCTTCCCCATTCTTAACATGTACCTCTATTAGGAAAGAACGGAATAGGTTCGATCATCGCTAGATAAGCTGGCCACAGAACTTCCAAATGACTTTACACATGGTTTTTAATTTTAATAATTAACATGGAATTAATTTTTGAGCAAATTCTAGCCAATTCTATATCGAGTACACTTAGTAGATTTTCATCTTGATGTGCATATTAGACATCCAATTTCTGTTTTATTAGAACTCTCCAACTATCCTTGTCTCTGGAGATCAATTTCATTTAATTAAAAAAGTACCAACAATTGTCTGCCTTGTAATATTGCTTACATGAAGTTAGTGTTCCTGACCCACGTGCTCCCTTCATCTCAGTCTTCTAATGCATTTTCTTTTCCTCTTGTTTAAACCTTTTCTCCTCGGGCACACATGGCCGAAGGCCTGCGGAAGCCAGCCAACACAAACCCTCTTCTGAAACCTGCACAGTATCCATTACAGTTTGGGCAGATGAGGCAAGTTACAATCATGTGTGATGTCATCTATAGTAACATGGTAGCATGCTTAATTTCAAATAAACACCAATTCCACTCATCTGAATATAATCACCATTATTTTTTTATTAAGAGGGCATAAATTATTCCCAGTAAGCAAACCAAAACACAACCTGTCTTGCTGCCAAGTTCATCACTTTCTTCCTTAAGAATAATTCCTTCAACCATTCCTTCTGCTTAATTCTATTAAGTTCTTCCATCTAGACAAAATATCATATTTATGATAGTGCTGTAGATGTCTCTGTACAAGGCTTGCAAATGTCTAAATTACTCTCAGTCCACGATGATTCTGAGTGAAAGCTGGCTGTTGGGATCTTTTAACCTGCACCTCTACCTCTGAATGCAGAGGCATCAAGGTTGATGGATAAGCAGCATAGTGTCAAACCTTTAGAAGCCTGGACACTTCTGTGGTGATAACATCTGATGCATCACTTTCTTAAGGGCATGCCATAGGAAGAATAATGGCTGTCAAAGATGCCCATTTTCTTATGCTTGAAACTCGTGAAAGTTTTAGGTTATATGGCAAAGAGGAGTTAAGGCTGCAATGAAATTAAGATTGCTAATTCTCTGATCTTAAGATGGGGAAGTCATTCTGGATTATCCTGGTGGGGCCAACATAATCACAACCTCCTTAAATATGATAGAGAGAGGTAGAACATGGAAAGGGACCATAATCCAAGGAAAGTGCAATTTCTAGAAGCTGGAAAAGGCGATAAAATGATTTCTTCTCTCTCTCTCTCTTTTTTTTTTTTTTTGAGAAGGAGTCTCACTATCTCCAGGCTATAGTACAGTGGCACAATCTCGGCTCACTGCAACCTCCGTCTCCCACGTTCAAGTGACTCTCCTGCCTCAGCCTCCTAAGTAGCTGGGTCTACAGGTGTGTGCCACCATGCCCAGCTAATTTTTTGTATTTTTAGTAGAGATGAGGTTTCACCATGTTAGCCAGGATGGTCTCAATCTCTTAACCTCATGATCTGCCCGCCTTGGCCTCCCAAAGTGCTAGGATTACAAAAATGGTTTCTTCTTTATGGTCTTTAGAAAGGCCTGCTGACACCTTCATTTTAGCCCACAGGGACCCATTGTAGATTTCTGGACTACAGAACTATAAAATTATTATTTGTGTGGTTTTAAGTTTGTGGTAACGTGTTAGAGCAGCAATAGGTAACTAATACAGAACATTTTAAAATAATAGAAATGGACATTTCCATTTCCAAATGGAAATCTGTTGCTGTGCAAATGTTAAACATATCTTAATTATGTTAGTTGGAGGAATAATGTCAATTTTACTTCTCACTAAAAATGAATTTTGGCTTTTGAAAGAGATGTTTGTCAAGAACAAGAGGCAGAAGACACCTTACTTTAAAAGAACCCACACGGCAAAGACAATATCTGGCACAAAATAGTTTCTCAATAGATGAGTTTTGAATGAATGAAAAGACACACTATGGTTGGCTTGATTTTTCTAGATCACATTCTATAGTGCATTAACACGTGCTAGCCATTCAACGACAAATATTTAGTGAGCAAGTACTTGGGGTTAGGCTTTGTTCTAGTGACAAAAACAGTATATGTTCAGAAAGGAAGATATTCCTGTGTTTGGAACACTCACTGGAAAAGGAGGCTGAAATCGACTGGGCCATGAAATCATAAGTAAATCATAGATACATACCGAGGAAAGGAGGTGTTCTGGCAGAGAAACGCCCGTTTCTTCAGCAGGCAGCAGAAAGGAGGAGGGCAGGAATAGTAGTCTCAAGTACAGTGTCATATAGAGAAATAAGGCAACTATTTAATAAAAGACAATCCAGAGGGCTGGGCAATGAATATTCACCATTTGTATTCCCAGAGTCTGCACCAAATACGTGCTTAATAAATATAGGTAAATAATAAATGAGCATACCAAAAGAATAAGAAAAAAAGAGTAGGTATAAGACATTTTAGAAAAAGTTTTAAATGCCAAGTTAGGGGATAAGGAATATTATACAGGTAAAAGTAAGATATTAATGAAGACTTAACAAGAAAAAGACATGAAGAAATCCATTTTAGAAAGATTAACCTGACAATGATGTGAAAGTCTTATGTCAATAGAGAGAAATGGTATGGAGCTTCATTATTTTGTGTCTGTAATATTAGTATTGATCCTATTTTCTCTCTGAACTCTCTCTCTCTATATATATATATGAAAGAAAGATGTTATAACAGATCTATCAAACTTACCCCCACCTTCTACTGGCCACAATCCTGTATTAATGGAAACTCCAGATCTCTACATGCTCTGCCAAGATTTCACTTGTTTCTCCCCTCAAATGCCTACAATTTCATTGTTATATTCCTTGGGACCATTGTGACTTTGATGCCTATTCATGGCAGTCACAGGAAGCTCAGGACTCCCGGGTCATTCTTCATCCCCCAATACTAAGTGCTTCATGGCTTTTTACATACCTTTCTGATTCCATCTTCTCCCTGACTCTTGAAACTTTCCACCGTGCCCTTTGGAACATGGCACACATCATCAGCAAAACGCCTCATATGCTCAGCTGTTTCTCTGAATGTCACCTTTTTACTCTACCCAAACCTAACTCTCAAAACGAAGTCCTACCTAAAACACAGCCTCCCAGGCAGCATCCTCAAAAGATGGCTGTTATTTCTATCATGGCTCTTATATCACTAGGTCTTATGTACCTTTTGCCATGCATTGCCACATAGAGATCATCCTTCCTTCTTCCTAAAACCCCAGCTTTGAATTTCACAACAGTCCTACTTTTTGCAATCATCTACTCTCCTCATTCCTTGTAAATATTTGGTGTTGGGCCACTGCCATTCTCTTCAACACTACCCCTGCCAACATTCATGTTAATTTCCTTATATGCATAGAAGAAACTTCAAATTATTTGGCTGTGTCCTTGACTTCATCTCCTCCAAAAGAACTTGTCCTTCACATAGCATCAGCCATTCCTTCTTAAAATCAAACTCAATTATTCACCCATTTAAACTGAATAAATAATAATTCATTTAATCTCTAAACACCCATAAAATCCATGTCATGTATCCCACTATGTGATCACCATCTCCTAACTTTATAGCTCACATCTTTTACTATCCCAACTCCAACATACTTTGACATCAACAATACCTTCAACACATTAATCCTACAAATTCTTTATGTCTTTCCCCATTTGTTACATCTATACCTTCAGTAGCTCAGCCCAGAAACAACAAAATCATTTTTGACCGTTTACCTTCATACCTCATGTATAATTAATTAGAAAATTCTACATATCCAGAACCAAAATGAATCCAAAATAAATCCAGAGCCCTTCTAATAAGTACCTGCACCACTCTAGTCTGAGGCAGCATCCATATTCTCATTGATTATTATGATAGCCCCCAACCTACATTTATGTATCAGAAATTGGTACCTATTACCAACACAGCAGCCAAAGGGATTATTTTGAAATGTAAATCAGAGCATGTTACTACGTTGCAGAAAACTGTCCAATGGGTTTCTATTTAGGTCCAAATATAGTATAGCCTAAGTCATTGCATAGCTAAGTATAGCATAGCCATCAAGGTCTTTCAAGATTTGGTCTCTTCTTACTAGCTGACGTCTCTTAATACTCTCCCCCTTGTTCTAGTCACTCTAGTCACACTGCATACTTGTGCTTCCTGGAATATGGCAAGCATATTCCTACATCAAGAAGTTTGCATTTGCTGTTCTCTTTGCCTGAATCATTCTTTTTCCAGAAAATCTGCATAGTTTCTTCTCTCACTGTTCACGTATAAACTGTTTTCATAGATGATAGATGATAGATAGATAAATAGATAGATAGATAGAGAAAATTGTTGTTTATCCCCACTAAGACTTGAGCTTCATGAGGGCAAGCATGTTGCCTTTATGTTCACTGCTATATTCTCAGAACCTAGAACAAGGCCTGGCACAAAACAGGTGTTTAATAAATATTTGCTAAATAAGTGAATGTTGTTCAAAGGGAAATGGAGGTGAAAAAGAAGAGAATTCAACCAAAAGTCATAGAAACCAAGATCAAAACAATGACTGACAGCCACTATAATGTTCTCAAAAGACCAAGGTCCTTAAAGTCACTATAATAAAGCTCAGAAGAGAATCTGGTTGTTTATGAAACCTGTTTCATAACAATGCTTCCTCTCAAACTTCCTTCTTATGCCTTGCCATTCATATTATCTTATGTTACCATCCCTTGGCTCTTCTGAGAAAGTAACAAGATTTCAATGATTTCCAAGGCTATTTCCTGGGGTATGATTTAGAAAGTCTGTTTTTTTCTTCTAGGTGAAAACATGGAATGCTCATAACCTTGATGAAGATTTCAGGCCTTGCTCTATCCATGAAATTCTTAGGAACCCAGCAATCTGCAAGTAAGCCAATATCAAGGACAAATTCTTGCATGTTGCACCTCCCACTATAAAGAAGGAAGCACACCACCTAGTAGGCCTCTTTAGATTCTAGCAGAATCCTACTCCACAACTGGGAATATTATTCCAACATACTGAGTGACATTGGAGGCTGTCATCTGTGAGGGTCTGGAAGGAGCTCCGTAGGAAGACCAGCCTCAAATGCATCCCTGGTCATATGACTTGGGTCTTATAACCTAGGGGATACTTTGTAATCAGAGATATCTGTGATGGGAAAACTCTATGGAGTTAGACTCTAAACAGGACAAAAATTGACTTCTTCTGACAACAGAGAATTTTTTCAAATGTCCAGGTCTATGAGTCGTGGAGATTTAGTCCAAGAATATATCAACTGCTTCCACTTTAAAAGTTTTCATTCATTAGACTTTTATTTAAAAACTCTGTCTTTCTCACAAAGATACTTTGAAAACACCATGAAAGTACAAGAAATCCATACCTAGACTTTTCACATAGGCCCAGAAATTGTACAAATGTTTTTAAAATGTATAAAATTTGTCTCTAATACAGATTCAATTTTATTTTCAACTCAACTGGCACTTTGTGTCATAGCAGTGTGTTCTGCTGGGCGTAGGATTCTCAACTTACTTCTTTTTGGGTTATTGTCCAATGCCTTAACCTTTTTATTTAGTGCCAAGTGTTCTCCAGCGAATTATATTGACTTAGCTTTAGTGCTTTCTTCAGGACATTTGTGAGAACTGCATTCTTTCCTAGTCACAAATTTTAAAACTGCAAGACAAAATTGTTGTTTTTGTTATTGTTAGTGTAGACTCCACAATCTAAATGACATAATTTTCTTTCTGCATCTTAAATTTTATGAAAAGGTTGATTCTGGCTACTAATGGCTTTAATGCCTAAGAGCTAACAATGCATTTGTCTTCTAATCCCTTCTTTGGAAGAAAGAGGTATGGGGGTAAGCTCCTCTGGAAAATTAACAGAAAAATTGTAAGTTAAACAGGTCCTTCTAGATAATCTGTTCTGGAGATTTTCTTCTTTGATTGCATACGGTTGAAACCAAACAGCTAAAATGGGAACCCATTCAATCCATATTAAGATTTACCCAACATCAGAGGATGACTGCCTAAACTATAAAAGATAAAAAGGGAACTCCATGCCTTGTCACACAAAGAGATCAAATTTCTGTCTTTATCTGGCTTCTTAGAACAGAAAATAACACAACAGGCTCATAGTGTGTCTTAGACTGAGTTGAAAGGAAAGAGTTCTGAGATCAAAAAGAGAAAAAGTCAAGTCAAAATGTAACAAACAGGAAAACTCAGATTTTTGAATTCATGATAATTAGCCTAGAGTTTAAAAGATGTAGTGACAAAAATCTTGACTAGGAATCCATAAATAAGGTAAGGGTATACCGTTTCAGCTCAGTAAATTAAAACTATGGATTCCTAAAGAAATTGGCCAGACAAAACCTGAGAATGGACTACCTATTTTAATTTTCAAGAACCAGAAAACCAAGTCATTTGCTGCCAAAAACATAAAGGTCAAATATCCAATGATGATGTAGACTTAATTCTGTTTCTGATGCAGTGGTGCCATTTAGATGTAATCTTTGAGTTTAGTCTTCTGCATAGTGAGCACAATTACTGGGTTTGTCAAAGCCATGTGTTCTTAATTTAGCAAGGGCATTTAGACACTTTAAAATAAAGATGAATGGATATGAAAGGAAAAACAAGAAATTTGAGGTGATGTAAAGTTAGGTTGCAGAGCTTCCTGAAAAATACCAAGTACTATTAAAAAAGCTACTCAGGCTATCACACAAATTTCACATTATTGTAACCAATCATCATTTACAAAGCCATCTAATACCTCATTAATGCTGTAAGGAATTCTCAGGGTGATGAGAAAGACAAGTTAGTGGCTTAGTCGCACTTTTAACATGTAAAAAATAAAAATGCCTGTATTATTATTGTGGCATAAACTATTTTAAAGAAAAATTTTCTTCATAAATTTGGTAATAATTTTTTTCAATTGGGTGCTAAGAATAATGAATCAATCAACAAAACAGTTTGCTATTGCTAATCGCTGACAGAATGACATACTGGGCTGTATTTAAAGCACAGCATACCATTTATAAAACAGGATTTATGTATGTTATGTATGTATGTATGTTATGTATGTATGTTATGTTCTGACAAAACAAATGCCCACAGAACACAGAAGGAAATGATTCCTGCCATCCTTTGGGATCAGTTATCTCAAGAAAGAAACTATTCACGTTGGCATGAATGCAGCCATCTTGCTGTAATTATGTCTTCCTAATGTCACTGAATCAGAGATGTGACCAACTGCCTTGACCTACAATCTAGTTAAACTATCATTGGCAAATTCTTACTTTCAAATTTCTTCATTTTGCAAGTGTAGTGTCTCTTTATTCTGTTTTTATTGACTAAAAAGTGGTGGTGTTCATAGTTGCATGATTAAAAAAAGTAAAAGTACTTAAAAATGAAAATATCAATCCATCATTTGTGGAGTAGGGTCTGTGAGACGGTAGACTAACTTCTCAGGGAGAACATTAGGAGGAAAAAAAAGTGAGGAATTGGCAGAAAACTGGACCTATAGCCTAAAATAGAGGGCAGTTTATTTGTTATTTGTCTAAGTCAAAGGCAAAACAGCAAGGTAAACATCAGAAGTAATGTTACATTAATATGAACATTAACAGACACAGTACAACAGGTACACTCACCAACCAAGCACAAAGGATACTGGCTATCATAGGAGTGGGCTGCCAGATGTCTGTTGATGTGCTGGGGGACTACCCTTCGGTTGCTGAATAATATGTATGTCTGGGAGTCTCGAAAGAGAGCCAAGATAGAGGAGGGAAGGGAGGAACATTGGGAGTGAGGGGAAGTATGGGATCAGCAACTATTGACCAACTAGTGGGAAGTAATGTATTATTTTAGCAGTTGCTATGCCCACACGGTTCATGCTATCTGTTTGTCAACTCTGATACAAAGTATGATTCACTCATACTTAGGCCAGAAGGCAGCAGGTTGGGTTCTAACGAGCTGGAAGAATGGATTGGTAAAATACCTGTAGTGGGTGGTATGCATGGCTCATGTTATGAGAAGTCACCATCTGAACACAAGACAGCAGGGCCTCCTCCTGGTGGGCAACTTATTAACACATTTCTTGTCCCTGACAAGGATCTGCAGTGGGAAGGAGCCCTAACAAGTAGTCAGGCCTGGCAAACAGAACATTATTGGATGCTGGATGGTTGACATTAGGACTCGCAAATTCTAGATCTCAGAGCATGGTAAATATGAAGTCTCAGTCCCATTAGACCACTGGCCTGGGATGAATTAAACATGCCCTGTCTTGATTGTTCAGAAATCAAGAGTAAGGTTGAGGCCTCGGAGGTGGAAATCAGTGTGCCCAGCTGTAGAAGGATGATGAAGGTAGGAGCTGGGATTTTATTTGAACAATTTTCCTCAACCTGTAGAAATGATCAACAAACCCTTTAAAAACCACAAGTCTGTCCCATCTCAAACAATTTGTAATATGTGTTACATACCACAAATCATCCAAAAGAATAAATTCAATAGAATAATGCTAAAGAATTGTTTTAAGTCTCAAATGAGACTATTATAAAATTTCTACCCTGACACACAGCAAATATCCAGTAAATGTTACATAATATATAATATATAATAAATATATGTTTACATAAATGTCTAACAAAGAGATTGTGTTTCCCACTTTTATCATAGAGAAGTTCTATGAATATGTAGTTGATTGAGCTACATAAAAAAATCATTGAGAGTGAGATGATAACATACTTGACAAACATGCATATATTGACAAGGCAGCAGTCCCTAATTGAGCAATTCCTAAGCTCCATGCCTTTCTTTGCATTATACTGCTTACATATATTAAACATGGCAAAACTGTCGGTATCACTAATTCTGGAGATAATGTGTGCAGTGTTGTGTGTTATTCAACTGACAAACAATTGGCAGGTAGCTTTTATAATAGCAAGATGGATTCTTGTATGGGATGTGTTGATTGCTTATGTCAGTCCCTTTAAAATGTAACAGCAGTCGTAATTAGAGCTGTAAATCTCTTCTAACTATAATTAGATTACTATTTATATCCATTGTCATTTTTTAAACAGCCTGAGACAGTACTGTGGAGCTAGAAAAGTTGTTAGGGGAGGTGGCCATGTGGTTCCCTTAAAAACAATAATCGCTGTTAAGAATTACTTGCATGCTGTTCATGAGTTTAAATACTGAGTCCCAAGAAACTACTTCAGAGAGGTGGCTCCATGAATCCTTAGTGTCTATGAAGGAAGTGTGTCCCCGAAGAAGCAGACCTAGTCTTTTCAAGGGCTGCCCTAAGATAGATCATGCAGCCAATAGTTATATCTATCTGTACTTATGAGAACAAAATGGGGAGAGAGGATGTCTGCCTGATAGAAAACAGCTCTGTATTTTACATCTCATTAAATATCAATTCCCTCTTAAAGCATCATTTCATTGACACCATAACCCAGTGAGACAACAGAATCATGCTGAAAATACATTGCTCATTTAAGATGCTGCCAGGTTGCTGAAGGCACTGGACAGGGTTCTCAACCCTTTACCTTCCTCTCTTCAATCTTCTTACAATGGTTTAATAAATAAATAAGCCACAAGGAAATCAGGTTGGTTTCACATTCAGGAATATTGTAATAAATAACACTTGGGCTTTATAATAACCAGTGGCAATATTCTGAATCTAGGCAAGAAATAAAATGTGTGCAACCTGGCATTTGGGATATGCTGGGTCCCCCAACTTATTCCCCCATAAATCCTTTAAAAATATGAAGTATATTTTATCCTCTTAAATTAAACAGTATGATCAATAAACGAGACCAACTAGAATCATGTGATGCCCAGCACAAGATTTGCTCACTAAGTGATGGTGAAGGAGAGGAATGAATGGAATAAGGGCATTCATTCCTCTGAATGAGCATGAATGCATTACCAGCATGGGATGAGGAGGTGTCTCTTCTGGCATGAACACTGTGGGGCCTTCAGTAAGATATTTTACTACTCTAGCCTTCTTCACATTCATTTCCATTTCCCCATCTGGAAAATGAGAATATTATACTAGATGATCTTTAAAGCATTTTCTAGGGCTAAAATCTGATTATTATCTCTAAAGTCTGTGAACCCCTGTTTCCAGATTTAATACGTGGTAAAAGTCTCAAGCTGCCTATTTTAAGAAAAGTATGCTAGCTAGTGATATAATTTTTCCGTAGTGCAAATGGAGCAGAGGTTCCAAATACTGACACTTTGTTTTTTAAAAAAGTAAGCCATTACATTACTAGAAGTAACATAAGTTATTTCTAAAAATATAATCTTGGAAAACAGAACCACCCCCCACCCCAAGTAGGGCACATAACCTTAAAGACATAAAGAAAAAGCTGCTAAATCTTATATGATTCTTTTAAAAGCTGCATTCTTTTTTTTTTTTTTTTTTTTTTTTTTTTTTTTTTTTGAGACAGAGTCTCGCTCTGTCACCCAGGCTGGAGTGCAGTGGTGCAATCTTGGCCCACTGCAAGCTCTGCCTCCCGGGTTCATGCCATTCTCCTGCCTCAGCCTCCCGAGTAGGAGGGACTACAGGCGCCCACCCCCATGCCTGGCTAGTTTTTTGTATTTTTAGTAGAGACGGGGTTTTGCCATGTTAGCCAGGACGGTCTCGATCTCCTGACCTCATGATCCACCCTCCTCAGCCTCCCAAAGTTCTGGGATTACAGGCGTGAGCCACCGCACCCAACCTAAAAGCTGCATTCCATATGGTGAGAAACACTATGAAAATATTTTAAATGACAAACCAGGAAAAAAACTGCAATGCATATAGCAAAAGGCCAATTATATTCATACACAAAAAGTTATTTAAAATATACAGAAATCAACAACCAAAATTGGGCAAATACAATTAAAGGCAGTTTATAGCAAAAGAAATATAAGGGGCCAATGAACAGTAAAAATATCATCAAACTCTGATGATTAAAATAATGCAAATTTGAACAAATGTAAGATTTCATTTTAAATCTACTGTATTTCAATTATTTTCAAGGTTTTATTATTCTTAGTGATTGGCTAGATATTCTCATGCTCTTAATATGGTGCATATTATGATGAAACTTCTTAGGAAAGCAATTGAATCACAGTTATCAAAGTTAAAGAATCTACTTTTGATTAAAAAATTCAAACTTTAAAAATGTGTCCTGTAAAAATACTATCACAAGATTACAAAGATACATTTAGGGGCCAGGTGAGATTATATATATATATACATACATATATATATATATATATATATATATTTTTTTTTTTTTGAGACACAGTCTCACTCTGTTGCCAGGCTGGAGTGCAGTGGCAGGATCTCAGCTCACTGTAACCTCTGCCCCCAGGGTTCAAGTGGTTCTCCTGCCTCAGCCTCCCCAGTAGCTGGGACCACAGTTGCGCGCCCCCACGACCAGGTAGTTTTTGTATTTTTAGTAGAGAGGGGGTTTCACCATGTTGGCCAGGATGGTCTCAATCTCTTGACCTCATGATTCGCCCACCTTGATCTTCCAAAGTGCTGGGATTACAGGCATGAGCTACCACACCCAGCCGTGACAATACATTTAAATAAAAGGATGCTAATTGAACCACTGTGTATGAAACACTTCTACTCCAGTGTCTTTCTGCCATTATAAATTATGTAAACATTTAAGGACTAGTAAAATAAATTGTGTACCTTTATATAATGAGATACTCTGCTGCTGTTAAAAACATAGAGGTAGATTTAAATGTAATAAAGTAGTTAACATATTGTTAAAAAAGCATATTCATTATACATTTTAACCCCTAGTGTTATAAAAGAAATATACATCCATTCTTGCATAAATATAGGTATATTTTATAGGAAAAACAAAATATTTAAATGGTTATATAGAGAGAATAGCATTGTGGGGAGAGAGTTTTACATTATTATAATATATTTTCAGTGCTGTTTTAATTTTTTTACTTATAATTTTACTAAGTTGCATTAGGTGTGTAAAAGAAACATGGTGGGGAAAGGAATCATTGATTTAGAGAATATTAGTTATCTATGGAGGAAATCTGAGGGTCAGAAGTAGTCTCAAAATCCTGTCATTTACATTTGTTATGGATAATTATTTGAAATTAAAGGACTGATATTTATTCAGAAAAAGCAAATATGAAGCCATCATACCCAGGACACACAAAAACACACAAATACATATACATGCACGCACACACACACACCTGGAAATTGATGGCAGAGGTAGCTATTGAATCCCAGTAGCCTTTTTCCACCTGTCCAAGTGCTAGCACAAGATCCTTCCTGTCAAGCATTCACATAAAGAAAGAGTTGTTTTATGCAACATTGGTACAACTCCTGATTAGAAGACAAACACTGACCACGAGATTTCTGAGGGACATATGTTTCTTTGGAAATACAAGATTAAACCAAGTCATTTCAAAATTAAATTTTTGTGGCTAAAATTTCCTTGGATGAAACAGATGATTGAGAAAAAGATCCCAATTACTCAACAGGTAATAATGCCCTCCTCTTGATGATCTTTACTACAGACTTAGCCTAACAGTAATGAAATATTCATAAAGGTGTGCCCATTGACGAGCTCTGCGTCTTGATGTCAGAGAAAGAGTCCTGAATTTGGAGCCAGAAATCCTGGAATTTGATCTCTGTCTTTGTCTTTATTGCTTAGTCATGTCACTTAACCTCTTGAAGCCTCATCTCTGTTCTATGTATTGGAAATAATGATATATCCCCCAATGATTACTTCCAAATTTCAAACAGCTCACATGTAAAAAAATTGCTTTAAATATTCCAAGTGTGTCTTTTATTTCTTTGTATTGACCAATTAGCTTCAGGAATCAAGAAATAAGCATCCAGAGTAGAAAAGTCTGTATAAATTTTAACGTGGATATAAGATACTATATTCAAATAGCCAAACCATCATATCGGTTAAAGTGAAATCTTTTTATTAAATAATAAATCAATTGTTGTATCTACCACCTATTTGCTTTTAAAATTGAACCTGAGGCCATTTAAAATAAAAGACATATCAGTGATAAAATTGAAAAGCTAAGTCGAGGCACTGGTGTAGAAAAAAAGACAATATATTTAAAAACCTGAAGTAAGGGAAGTTTGTTTGATGTGATAAAGTGGCATACATCTTAAATACAAAGATTCGTAAATACTGGATTGAGAAAGTTCTGGATTTATTCCATCTAGTTTCTAAGAACTTGGGAAAATTGGCTAACAAGAAGCAAGAATTCAACATTCAGCTTTGTATCTAGATGGTAAATAAAAATTTGCCCAAGTTAATTTGAATTCCCATACCTCAAATTAAAGTATGCATTTGCACTGTGGGTCTAAGGAGAGTGAATTGTGAAATGTTCAGTATTAGAACTGAATTGTCTCTGGATGGAGATGTCACATATTGGATGGTTAAAGTGTGGATTTGCATGCTTAGATTTTCAGAACCACTCATCAATACAGCCATTAACTGTGAGATGTGTTCAATGCAATTAATCATTAATTACAAAGAATCAAAGTTTGTGAATGGCACACTTGTAATATAAGCTATTGCAATGAAAAAACCTGTATAATATTTTTATTATTATGCACTTGCATTCTCATATACATTTCATGAGTAGAAAAAAATGTGAGAGAGTTTTAGCTAGAACATTGGAAACACCACATCAAAAAGTGTTACATAAGTAAATATTAAACTTGTGTTTCAATACAATGGAATAAAAATAAATTGAGCACTGCTCCTTTGACACATTATCTTGCTTGAATAAGAGTAACATGAGGCAGTCCGGACATCTAACAAGACTGTTTTTCAGACCCATTCTATGAGAGAGCTATTTACCAGGTCTGCTTACTCTTGGTTCATTTGATGTTCACTCAGTTCAGAAGATACGCATGCAAATAAATACGCCATTTCACACAAGGGGCATGTCCCTGAAAATGATATCACTGTCTTAGCCCTTTCGGATTTGCTGTAACAAAATATCGTGAACTGGGTGGCTCTTAACCAATAGAAATTTATTTTTTACAGTTCTGGAGGCTAGAAAGTCCAAGATTAAGGCATTGGCAGATTCGGTGTCTGGTGAGGGCCCACCTTCTGGCTCATAAATAGCACCTTCTCATTGTGTCTTCACACGGTGGAGGAGGTAAGGCAGATCTGCAGGTCGTCTTTCATAAGGGCACTAATCCCATTCAAAAAGGTTCTCCTTAGATCTAATAACCTCCCAAAGGCCCTACCTCCTAATACTATCACACTGGTGATCCAGTTTTCAACATGTTTTTTTGAGGGGTGGTGCACAAACATTTAGACAATTTTGGGGGGACATCAACCAACCCAGCTCTATAGGGTGTCATAATAGAACAGTCATTAAAGTGTTGCATTTTTCCCAGTCATAGATTCTCCTAGCTGTAGTTCATGTAACAGTTGGGAAATCTTTCCAGACTGCAGCTATATGAATGAAGCACTTTCTCATATCAGGACACGTCTACCAATTTTTTATTGCCTACTGTACTTTTCATCTGCATAACAAGCCATCTCTTGAATGTATCACAAGTTTCCAGGAGATTTGCATTTTTACAGATATAATGCTAATCTTGTGGTAGGTCCAGCACCATAACTTTTATCAAGTTTTATGAGCCAAAACTGCTCATCAGAACATAAGCAAATGGCAAAAGGAGAGGCCCAGAATAATGAACAAAACTCATTGCACTTAACTCAAAAAATTACTGAAAGCACTGATTGGCTGAGAATATACAATAGTACTCACAAATCGTTGGGGGGAGTGGCATAAGAAATATATAAGATGTAATTGATATATATGTGTGTAAATACACAGATTATATATATAGGCTACATATACAATTTTATATAGAGATGTTTATATATTTTATAGAGATATAAAGATATTTTATATTGCCATGTAATTCATATACTTTTTTTTCAGAAACAAACACCATTTGAATAAGTCCACTTATATGTGGCAGTGTTAGTGAGCACTTATCCTCAATAATACCGAAAGAACTCTGACCAGACAGAAGGATTAATTGAGTACGGTATTTCGGGATGAATTACATGTAAATGATGAACAGTTAATTTAAGCACAAAAAAACTATACACCACAAACAATAAACATCAAGTAGATGATCTTAATCTTCCTCACCTAGATTCTAGAAAATCTTTAAGCATATGTATCTTAAGGAAGCGTTCAAATAAGATTATGTCTTCTACTTGAACTGTCCTGGTTTTTATTAAAATCATGCAAAGGGTGTAAGCAGAGAGTACATGTGGGGATACTTTTTTCTAAGAAACTTTTTAACAACCATATCCATTTGGAATGCCTATACATATTATCACTATCTACATTTCGATTGACATTTACACATGGGTGTCTAATGATCATCTTAACAGGCCACACAGCCACTTGGCAAAACCAAAATAAATTTGTGGACCCTCAATAAACAGACCCACACCTATTCCTCCTAGTGTGTGATACCACCACACTCCCAGTTGCTGAAGCCAGACAAGAAGTCACAACTAATTTTTCTGCAATTCATCGGCAAGTCCTATGTACTCCTCCTTCAGTATATCACATCAATATGCTCCTATTTTTCTACCACTGTAGGCCAAATCACCACCATCTCTTTCCTGGAGTACTCTGGGTACTCCTACCTGGTCCTGCTTTTTTCTATTATTGCCTTTCTGTGATCCATTCTCCATAGAGCAGCCCAGTGATCTATGAAGCACAAATCAAACTATGTCACTCCCCTGACTAAAATACAAAAATGGTCTTCCAACACAGTTGAAACCACATCTAAATTTCTTATCATGGCTCATAAAGCACTGCATAGATTGAATCCTGCTGACTTCTTTGCTCTTATCACAGAAGGGTTCCCCTCACTCCTTTTGGGTAACAACAATAAAGTTTGAATTTTTGTACCACGAATGTTCTCATCCTTTCAGAAAAGGCAAAATGCATTTACCTATCATTTTGCAACCTTACAAAAATCTAAGGGGAGAAATTACCAATGAACTAAAGAACTACATAGCTATCTTTTTTCCTCTGATTCAAGTATTTTAAAAGCATTTGTTTTTCCCTAGAGAATGCTCCCAGAACAATATTATGTTTTATATGTCCTTTGAGTTTTGACCACTCTAAGTAGAACAGTCAGATCTGTGTTGCTTTATCAAGCCTCTTTGTAAAAATGGCCTAGTTCTTTTATTTGCCCTGCTAGATTTTTTATATGTGTTTGTAAGAAGCAAAGGAAATATTACATCTAAATGTCAGAGTCTTGCCGCTACATTTTTGAATCACTGCTGTTCAATGCACTATTTTAGTCATTTTGTGATAACTTAATTGTTTTAGCAACACTAGAAAGTTCACTTTTTAGTAGGTAACAATTTCTCCTGTAATCCCAATCTTAGAAAAATAATTGTTTGATAGGATACAGCACATATACTTACTGCCTTGAACCTACTACGTCTTTTAGGTTCCCAAGATTTGGAAAATTAAGAAAAAAAAATTAGTGACTTGGCCAAACTCAGACAAAAAAAAATTTTTAAATCTGTATAGATCACGAAACTGATTGCATACCCAATGCATCTTAGCAAATGTTATTTTCATGAATTAAGTGTAAATGAATCAGAGACATATAAATTAAATCCCCCTTAAAGAGCACATAAGTTTAAAATGGAAGGAGCAATGCCTTTTGGAAAAATATGATTTCCAGCACAACCCAAACATTTATATAATAGCTTGGGCTGTTTCACAATCTGAAAGTACATTTGAATTCATCCACTCCTCTGAACATTCAATATGAAAAAAAAATCTCTCACTTTATCATCAGAAGAAAATTCTCAAAGGTCTCAGGTATACCAAAGACCTTTGATTTGATATTTCTAGTATGCAAATTACTAAATGTTATTTTAGAAGATTATGATAGAGAATGCCTGTTCATTTATTCTGAAAAGGTACTATACACACATATGTTAGCACCTTCCCAAAACAGAGATCAACCTTTAAAGGAGATGAATAAACACATAGTATTCTAAAACACTGAGCAGTGAAAACATCTTACAGAGAAAAATTAAGGGTAATTTGATAAACTACCAAATTTCAGAGATTGGGCAATTGAATTTGAATTTGAAGTAGGTTTAAATGTTGACTATGCCTACCAAGCGTAAGTGTATTTAGCTGGCTTAGATCCCAAAATAGAAAAGATTGTCAGAAAGGATAAATTTGCCATACTTGTTTTGAAAACTAAACTGAAGTCTTCTTTTAAGGCCAAGCTTTCTAGAGTTCTCTGAAAGGCTTAGTAAATTTGCAATCTTGTAGCTCATCTGATTCTATTGAAATCCCCACTGTGGTTAGACTTGTGAGCCTTTGACATTCTGAGCTTCCAGTTTCCTTTGCCATGACAAGAAGGGAAGATATTGGCATCCATGCTCACCCATTCAACTATTTTGGATGCATTCTCATGCAGTATTTGCTTCGGTTTTTCCTCTTCTTTTTTTCCAAAACAGTTTTCGACCATTTTCATGCCCCATGCAAGAGATGTTGCACCATAAAATATGGGAACAATAGAAGATATAATCATTATTTATGGGCATATTGATTTCCCAATCTACTGAAATTCCAGGAAGGCAGGAAACCATATTTGCTTGTCTCACTACCCATTTTACTGTGCTCACAGTGGGAAGATAACAAAAGGTTTTTGAAAGTAACCTCAAATCAACAAGACATAATAAGAATTAAATGTTTTTGTGAATAGTGTTATGCAGAGAAGGAATCAGATAAATTGCTTTCTCCTTCCCATACCCTCTTATTTCCTTTCTTCTTTCCTTCCCCTTTAGCATCAAAATAGAAATTGGCCACTGTGCCTTCCTGTAAATCTTTAAACTTTATAGACAAATCCATTCATGTATTCATTGAGAGCTTAGGGTTCAGGCTGCCACTCTAATTTCACTCTCATCTGTCAGACAGGGTGTTTGAAATGTCCATTTTAATGAATCCCCTGCCTCATGTCCATGAAGAAACTTGTAGTTAATCCTACTTAAGAGTGATATCTAGTAGGGTTTTATTCAAAAGATCTATACATTTGTCAAATTAAAGACTTTACCTCAAATCATTTTCACTTCTTAGATGTTAGCTCACGAACCATAGGCAAGTCGAATTTCAATATAGAAGAAAGTAGATAATGGAAAATCTATTTGTCCAGCAATTCTAATGCTGCTAAACTTCAAACCCTAAGTGGCATGGTGCTTAAAACTGAACTTTTAATTCTGTTTTTTTTTTTAAAAAAAAAGGTGAATTTTAGAAATTATAAAGTTTGGGGGGGAATGGATCAACTATTTGTCAAGCTAAATTATACATTCAGCAGTTTTATACTGAAAATTTAGCAATTGGCAATGGAAATGGATATCATTGTATAAAAACCAATGCAGAGCTTCCACATACAAATGTTTATTACATGATTGTAACCATATTTCTGCATCTGACTAACCACACTAACACACACCATGTACCTACTAGTGCATATGCATACAGAAATTGGATAACAAAGAATGAATGTCATCTTTTACACAGTTCTATTATTAGACAATGTAACAGCTAACCCTTAACTCTAACCAATCTTTTTGTTCTAATTATAATAATATGTTTTAGGTGGAGAAATTAATTTGAAATGACAATGGGTAAATTAATTAGTAATTTTTCCATGGAAGAATCTCAAGGAAAAAAATAACAAATATTGATTAAAATTTTAAAATGAGTATTTTAAGGCCAAAATTTTAATAAATTTGTTGGCATCCACTTTCATCTTTCTCTTAACTACTCAATTCAAGGAAGCATGCTGAATAACTACACTTATAGGTATTAGTTCAATATAAAACATGACATGGGGAAATGTAAACTAAAATAAAAGAGAAAACCTAAATAGACATTTGATTTATGTATGACAGGTAATAGAGTATTTAACTGACTTGACTATATCTTCAATTATTATCAGTAGGACCAGTGAAAAAATTCTCTATTCTCATTTTCCTGTCTGACTTTTATATTTTGGGATTTTATAAATAATAATTTTGAGCTGTGTTACTTGACTTGTTTGAATGATTTCTTACTAACATTCTGAGAAATCAGCCTTTGTCTTTAAAAATTCTATATATTATATTGATCTTATAAATATATATATTACATACAGATATATTATAGAAATACAATATATATTATAGATTAATTTAAAACATTACAAACCAAAAACATGTTCACTTTCTATCTTCTAGTTGTACTTTCTACCTTCTAGTCCCTTTTTTCTTCATTCATTTCTTAGTCTATTTGCTCTCCCCAACCTTTTCTTCTTTTACACTCCTTGTTCCACTCATCTCTTTTTTTCCTTTATTTTGCAAAGCAGTATCACCCCAAAGGTCCATATCTTAAGTCACACAAGAGCTGCCTGGATTTAGGACTAGGGAAATCAAAGCCACAAAATTCTGGCAAGCCATTAGAAATGTCATCTAGAAACTTCAAAGGAAATAAATGCCTAAAACCTGGCTTTGAACCCTGAGACCAGAAACTTTTAACTTCCAAATAAGGTGGAGATACTGACAAGTAATTGAATTTGAAGACTTGCTCTGACTAGCAGAAAATTTTGGAGGAGGCTTTGGCTAATGAAAGTGACTATGATGTTGCATGCAGAGACAAATTAAACTGGCTCATTGTTTAGGTTTAACAAGTTCCTCCTCAATTTAGTTCAACAGTTTACATACATACACAAACCCAAATACAGAACTGCACATTAGAAATGAAAACTACACATTAGAAATTTGGAATTAAATTACCTGCAGATTCTAATGCCTGTGTCTGACTTCCTAGCTAAACATCACCTTAAAGTTGGGTAACATCCACCCACTCCACACAAATGAGACTTGAAAGGGCTTCTTAAATTAACAGACTTTATCTTTTACAAGCAGTGTTAGCTTCACAGCAAAATTCATCAAAGGGTACAGAGATTTCCCATGTATCCCCTACCCCATGCATACCCTCCTCGCCCCATTATCCACATAACCCCACCAGAATGGTATATTTGTTACGATTGATGAACTTCTATTAAAATACCATTACCACCCAAAGACCATAGTCTACATTAGGGTTCTCTCTTGGAGTTCTACGTTTTAGGGATCTGGACAAATGTATGACATGTATCCTCCATTATAGTGTCATACCACATAGTTTCACTGCCCTCAAAATCCTCTGTGCACTGCCTATTCATCCCTTACTTTCCCCTAACTCCCACCAACCACTGATTTTTTTTTTTTTTTTTTTTTACTGTCTCCATAGTCTTGACATTTCCAGAGTGTCATGTAGTTGGAATCATACAGTATGTAGCCTTTTCAGATTGACTTCTTTTACTTAGTAATATGCACTTAAGTTTCTTCCATGACATTTCATGGCCTGACAGCTCATTTCTTTTTAGTGCTGAATAATATTCCCCTTTCTGGGTATACCACAGTTTATCCATTTACCTACTGAAGGACATTTTGATTCCTTTAATGCTTTGTCAATTATGAATAAAGATGCTATATATCTGTGTAAGTATTGTGGTAGACAAAAGTTTTTAACTCCTTTAGGTAAATACCAAGGAGCATAGTTGCTGGTAAGTATTGTAAGAGTATATTTAGTTGGGTAAGAAATCATCAAACTCTCTTCCAAAATGTCTGTACTATTTTGCATTCCCAAAATCAATGAAGGAGAGTTCTGGTTGCTCCATATTCTCACCAGCATTTGACATTACTGGTGTTTCCGTTTTGGCCATTCCACTAGGTGTGTAGTGTTATATCACTGTTGTTTTAATTTGCCTTTCTCTGATAATTTTTGGTGTGAAACATCTTTTAATATGCTTACTTACCCCATGCTTTGGCAAACACCAAAGAAGTATGTCTTTTTCAGTGAGGTGTCTGTTAAGGCCTTTGCCCCTTTTTTAAATGAGTCGGGTTCTCACTCTGTTGCCCGGGCCAGAGTGCAGAGTAGCATGATCATGGCTCACTGCAGCCTTGAACTCCTGAGCTCAGATGATCCTGCCTCAGCTTCCTGAGTAGCTGGGATTACAGGTGCACACCATCATGCTGGAATAATTTTTAAAAAATTTTTTAGAGACGGGATCTCATTATGTTTCCCAGATGGTCTCAAACTTCTGGCCTCAAGCAATCCTTCTGCCTGAGTTTTCTGGGTCACTGGGATTACCAGCATAAGTCACAGGCCCAGTTCCTGGCCCACATCTGAATGGGGTTGTTTGTTATTTTATTGTTGCATTTTAAAGTTCTTTGTATATTTTGGATAATAATTCTTTATCAGATGTGTCTATTGCAAATATTTTCTCCCAGTCTGTGGCTTGTCTTTTAATTCTCTTGACAATGATTTTCAGAGACCCGAAATTTTTAATTTTAATAAAACTCAGCTTATCAATTATTTCTTTCATGAATCGTGCCTTTGGTGTCATATCTAAAAAGTTGCTGCCAAACCCAAGGGCACTTTCATTTTCTCCTATGTTATCTTTTAGGTGTTTTATAGCTTTCCTTTTTACATTTTGGTACGTAATATATTCTGGGTTAATTTTTGCGAAGAGTATAAGGTCTGTATCAAGATTCACTTTTTTGCATGCAGATGTCCAGTTGTTCTACCACGATCTGCTGAAAATACATCTATTCTCCATTGTGTTGCCTTCACTCCCATGTCAAAGATTAGTTGACTATGTTTATGTGGGTCTGTTTCTAGGTTCTTTATTCTGTTCCATTGACCTAATTTTCTATTCTTTTAATAATATCACAGTGTCTCTTGATTACTGTAGCTTATAGTAAGTCTGGAAGTCAGACAGTTTCAGTCTTCCAACTTTCTTCTTTTCCTTCAATACTGTGTTGGCTACTCTGGGTGTTTTGCATTGACACATAAATTTTAGACACAGCTTGCTGATATCTACAAAATAAGTTGCTGTAATTTTGATTTGGGTTGTACTCAATCTATAGATCAAGTTGGGAAATACTGACATCTTGACAATATTGAGTCTTCCTATCCATGAACAGGGAACAGATTTCCATTTATTTAGTTCTTTTTTGATTTCTTTTATCAGCATTTTGTAGTTTTCCTCATATAGATCTTGCATGTATTTTGTTAGATTTATACCAATGTAGATAGTATTGTCTTTTTAATTTCAAATTGTACTCATTCATTACTTGCATATAAGAGAACAATTTACCTTTGTATATTAACCTTGCATCCTGCAACCTTAGTA